>NC_000001.11:206214890-206366405 GCF_000001405.40 Homo sapiens | reverse complement strand
GGGCTCCTCAAAACACCCTTTGTGTCACTGTGCCTTTCTCTCCACCCCCCTTGACACTAATTTAATCAAGATGTCCTTCTAGCTTGTAGATGGGGTGGACTCATCAGTTCCGCATTCCTCCTGGCATTAGGGCTTTGCAGCCAAATATGTAGACTTGAAACCAGCAAGTTGAGATGGGGTCAGGGTCTCCAAGCCAGAGCATGCACACCTTTTGGGTAAACCCTAGGCATAAAGAGTGGACTAGCTCTGTGGTATGTTTTTATAATTTTTAGTTAACCCTAAATATTCTGGAGGAGTTGAGAAATATTTTCTTAGGCAAGTATGTAGACATTTAGAAGCATTTCTTTTTTAAAGCAAGAAAAAAGACAAATTTTATCTCTATATTTTTGGACTCATCAGTACTGTTTCTAGAATGCAGAACTAGAAAAAAGAGCTCCTTGTCACAACTATGCCTGTCCTTTTTCTCCTAGTCTGCACTCTCCATAATTTTGCAAAATCTGAAAACTTCAGTTCTTTCCCAAGAACCAGATTTTAATTCAGATTTGCCTTCCTTAGCTGTTTCTCTAGACCACAGTCAGTATCCAGAAGAGAATGTCAAAACTGCGGTAGGGAATTTAACCAATAAGGAAAATAAAAAAATAAACCATCTAGAGCCCTGGGTCCCCAACCAGGTTACCTGATTCCTGGTCTAATGTTCATTTCCTATGCTGTGGTAGCTCCCAAAGAGGGCATCACTGCTCATCAGTACGCCTACCCCGGCCCTGAGTTGATTTGTGGACGCCAAGCCAAACATTTGAAGTGTGAGTATTACGGGCCAGAAGGAGTCAAATGCATTTGAGGAGGGCATGAGGCAGGCCCAGGGAACTCAGACAATCTATCTTAGGAGCTGATTTGAATGTGTGTTGAAATTCTTCTGTCAACCACAGATCCAACTGTCATGACCTCCCGCCTGGGACATGTAACCATTCCTTCCATCATCTGCCTGCCAGTTTAAGCAGCTCACATCAGCAGCGGCAGAAAAATATTCAAAGGACTATTGTTTCATGACCCACAAGGGCATTTTCAGAAACCCAGTAAGACTCCAGAATATAAGAGGGGTGTACCCTCTATAGATTTTGGAGCAAAAAGCTCAACTCCCTATCCTTAACTCTTTCTCCTCTCGCCTAGGTCAAGTAGGCCATTGACCTGGGGTCAGGAACAACCCTAAGTTCTTAGACCAATTTCAAAGTTATCTTTAAGTAATGTTATAAACCAAATTAAACTCCCAGTCATGAAAAACTGAAAGGCTCTTTCCAGCTCCCTCACAAAGCTATAGTGCAAAAATTCACCACCCTCAAATCAACAAACATATCTTCCATGTTGTTTCTTAAAGTAAGAACTGAGCCACTTCCCTTTTCCCCTCTGTCTTGTTGCCGGCTTGCTTATTTTCTCTCTTTCTCTGGAAAAGTCAATAAGAAATGCTTCCCTGATACTGTCAAATCATAAGAACATGGCCTACAGCTCTAGGTTTTGTATTAGGGCAAAGAGCAGGCATTCTGAACCCAAGAGAGGATACTGCTAAGCCTGAAAGTGGCAAAAGTTTCGGGAAAGGGCTAATGGAAGCAGCCTCTGGGCTACGCAGAACACCATCTCATTTGCTCACATCCTATAACCAAATGATGAGCACATCCACACTGGAGATTAGAAATAGCTCTCAGCTGAACAACAGGAATTTGGTCCAGGAGAAGCAACACCTTGTGAAACATCATTTAATGAAACCTACAATATGTTTAATAAAGTCAGCTATTCTTAGAAGAGCAACCCAGGGCCGGGTGCAGTGGCTTATGCCTGTAATCTCAGCAGTTTGGGAGGCCGAGGCGGGTGGATCACCTGAGGTCAAGAGTTCGAGACTAGCCTGGCCAACATAGTGAAAACCTGTCTCTACTAAATATACAAAAATTAGCCAGGCATGGTGGCACATACTATAATCCCAGCTACTCGGGAGGCTGAGGCAAGAGAATCACTTGAACCTGGGAGGCGGGGATTACAGTGAGTCAAGATCGCGCACTGCACTCCAGCCTGGGCAACAAGAGCAAAACTCCATCTCAAAAAAAAAAAAAAAAAAAAGAAGAGCAACCCAGAGGTTATATAGATGCCTGTTAATCTATAAAAAATGTGATATTTCCCCCCATTTCAGAATTTTTCCAGCATTTAAATCTATAGCACAAAATGTAAACCCTGCTTATTGATTCCAAACATAGCCTAAATGGCTCTTCTGTCTTCTCTACTCCTCCTCTCACTGCCTTAGATCAGGGCCCCGCTCTTGAATGAACTACTGTAGTAACTTTTTCCCTGTTCTCACATCTCTCTCACATCCAAACATTTCAGAGTAATCTTTCTAAAAGGCAAATCTGTCCATGGCACTCTCTTGGTAAAATCCGCTAGTAGGATTGTTTCAGTTAACAAGCATGCTAAAAATTAGTAAGCAAAAGATGAGGAGAAATAGGATATTTACATAGTATCTTCACAAGACATTTATTACACTGCAAAGGGGACACCCATCCTCACCGAGTAATTAAAATTATCACCGTCAGTAATGGGGACAAATCAACGGCAAGTGCCTCCTGATATAACGCACTAAGAAAAATATGACATCGCTTCTACGGTGTTCTTGCCAAAATTGCTTAAACTGAATCCAACCATGAGGAAACCAAACAAACCAAAATTGAGGAACATTCTACAAAATAACTGACCAGAACTCTTTAAAACCATGAAAGACAAAGCAAGACAGAGGAACTGTCAGAGATTAGAGGATACTAAGATGACAGTTCACCTCGACATCATGTGTGATCCTAAACTGAACCCTGAACCAGAAATTTGAATTGGACATTAGCAAGGCAACAAGTGAAATTTCAGTAAGATTGAGAGATTATAGTATTACCTCCGTGTTAATTTCCTGATTTTGATCATTGTACTGTGCTTATACGAGATTTTTTAAAAATCTCGCCCCCAAATATTGGAAAGATGGGATTTTAACATTTGGGGAATTTGGGTTAAGGGTACAGAGGAATTTCTGGACTACTTTGCAATCTTTCTTTAAGTCTGAAATTATCTCAAAATAAGAAGTTAAAACAATAACATTACAGGGGCTTCTGCTTCACTGGCTTCAGGGTATAAGCCCTTTGATGTGGCAGGCAAGGCCCTGCCCACCTCCTCAGCCTCATCGCTTGCCACTCCCCTACAAGGGACCTGTGTGCAGCCATCCTCACCCACACCACCTGTAGTTCCGGAACGCTTTTCATCTATTATACTTCCTTGCTTTCTGCATAAATGGTTTTATCTCCCAGAAATCCCCTATGCTCCCCTCTCCTACACTCCCATTCTTCCTAAGATACAAAGGACATCATAAGGCAAACCTCACCTCATATTTCCCTCCACCCAAGAACCCATTATTACACTGTATCATCATAGCTTATGTGCATGTCTATTTCTCCCACTAGACACTGTATTCAATATCAGGGGCCACATCAGCCATCTTCATATTCTCAACACATGGCCCAGAAAGTCAGAAATCTATCTGCCCCAGAGAGTCAGAACTCAATTCACTGTGTATTGAGGAAACATACTGTTTCCACTTAGAACTATCATAATAGCCCAATGGTTTGCCAAGCACTTTCATAGAAATTCCCTCACTTAATTACAGAATTTCAGAGATAAATCTTAGAGAGATTAGTCCAAACCATTATCTTACAGATTAGAAAACTAAGTCCTAGACAGGTTACAAAGTTAGGCGGCATTCACAGTCAAAGTTAGGCTGTGAGTCAGTGTGAAACGTAGGATAAGATTCTCATTCCCAGATCAGGAATTTTTTTTCTTTAATTCATAAACTACAAGAGCCTCTTTCCTCCAACCAACAAATACCACAGGATGTGTACAGGCAGAATTGTCTGGGCCTGGTGTGGTGCTTGGGGAAAGCATTTAATAAACACTTGCTAAAATGAGCTGAATCACCAGGGAGCAGCACCTCAATTCCTTATTTCACTCAGGTTGAACCTGAACAAGGTGTGACTCTAAGGTCTAACCTAACCTGACTACATCTTGTGAGGAATGCGCAGCCAGAATACACTAGTCTTAAGTGAGAAGGCCTGATTTTCCAACTAAGAGATCTCTGATTCAGAGAGCAGGATCCTGGCTTTCCTCCAGGGCTGATGGGAGGATGAGGCAGACACTGCATAGCCCCGAGCTATGTGGTATCAGGCCAGAGGCAACAAGCTCAGATCACTTCCTTACATCTAACCTGGGGAGGAAGCCCATCCAGTGTGTCAGAAATCATGTGCTCTGATTACAACAGCCTTTTTAATCTTCCTGGCCCAAGAGGGGATACGCACTGATAACTTTAATAATGCCAGCAGGTACAATTAATTTCCATTCCCACTATTTCCCACTCTTCGTATGAAGGGGACTGGAAGGATGGAATTAGATTCCACTGGGGCTTCAGCCTGCAGCTTGAGACAGACTGCCTGACACTCAGCAGGGAAAACCTCATCTTGTGTTTCATCAGAAGGACCAATGCTGATATATCAATGTTTGAAAAATCTGTGTGGCCTTAAGCACAGGGGTAATTCTTTTGTGGTTGGGTAACAATGACTACAAAATTAAATTAAATTAAATAACAAAGCCAAGACAGGATTTGATATGAGTCTAATGAACAGTTATTAAGCAAGATTTAATCAAAATGATACTGAAGTATTTTCCATTGTTTCCAAGAAGAATATCTATTTTATCAGTCAACACGTCCTGCATTTAGTGTATCTCTAAAGTAAAGTTTTTTGTGACTCTTTCAAGAATTTTTCTTAAATTAAAAACTTAAAGTCAGCTAGAAAAGGATATCTTGATTTATGTAGCATTTCTCTTCCAAAGCAGTTTCCTATCCTTTGTCATTGTTATCCTCACAGGATCTCCAGGAGGCAAAGTGGGCAAGAAGTATGCTTCTTGTTCAGTTTATAGATGGGCATATGGGAGTCTGGGAAAGTCAAATTCTTGTGTAGGATTCACAAGAAGGTAATGCAGGAGTTGGAAGTAAATTTGTTTTTAATTCTCTGTCTCAGGCTTACCCTGTTATATTCCTTCTCCTTATTAGCTGAAACGGCAAGAAAAGTGCTTAAAATTTTAAAGGAGGTTAAGTTGTAGGCACCACAGTTTCCCAAGATTCTAAAACCCAAATCTAATGACATTTGTTCAGTTCCCATTCTTCCTGACCCCTTCATAGAACTCATCATTGAGTCTTCTTCTCTCTTAAGTCCTTTGAGCCATATTACTCTCATTTTCCTTTTGCCCATTTTAATTTGTTCTTCTCTCTTCTTTGCTAGCTCTTCAAAGTCTTCTTTCTAGGCCTCAACTACCCTTTACTCTGAATACCCTTTCATGACCTCAACTGGTCTTTTGTGTGGTTAATTTTCAAGTCTTCTTCTAGCTCTTGCCCTCACTAAACCTTCCCTTTACCATGTCTAAAGCTGAAGTCAGAAATATGGTATGTACTGGACAGAGCAGTGAGTAGAATTTAGAAGACCTGGTAGTTTCAGTCACATCTCAACTACTACCTAACTGGGTAAACTAAGGCAAGTTACTTCTCATTGGCTCTCAGATTCTTCATGAATTACAGGGCTTGACTAGAATCAGTGGCTCTTCCACACACTTCCCTCAATAAATGGCAATTCCAACTTCGAATTGTTCAGGCCAGAATGCTTGGGGTCATCTTCGACTGCTATTTTTTTCATACACCATATCAATCAAGCAGCAAATCCTATTGGCTCCATCTTCAAAATATATCCCAGAATTTGACCACTTCTCACCATCTCCACAGCTCCACCCTGTTTCAATCCACTATGATTTCCTGCCCTAATTATTTATAGAAGCTCCCTTAATTGGTCTTCCCTTGCTGCTTCCACCCTACTCCTCCTAAAGCACTCTCTTCACACAGAAGCTGGAATAATCCCATTTAAACAGAAGTCAGACTGTATCATGCCTCTCCAGTCCTCCAGTAGCCTCCAAGGCCCTTCCTGAAGAAACCTGCTCGCTGCCCCAGACCACATCTCCCACCACTCTTCCTCTTGCCTACTCTGTACAAGGTCTCCTTACTGTTTCTCAAACCAGATAAGCGCATTCCCATCTCATGGCCTTAGATGTGCACTATTATCTCTGCCTGAAATACCTTCCTCAAAGAGCTAAACAGCAAAATCCCTCATTTCCTCCAAGAATCAGTTCCAATGCCAATTTATCAGTGAAGCCGTCTCTGACCACCCTATATAAAAGAGCAATATCGGCCGGGCGCGGTGGCTCACGCCTGTAATCCCAGCACTTTGGGAGGCCGAGGCGGGCGGATCACGAGGTCAGGAGATCGAGACCATCCTGGCTAAAACGGTGAAACCCCGTCTCTACTAAAAATACAAAAAATTAGCCGGGCGTAGTGGCGGGCGCCTGTAGTCCCAGCTACTTGGGAGGCTGAGGCAGGAGAATGGCGTGAACCCGGGAGGCGGAGCTTGCAGTGAGCCGAGATCCCGCCACTGCACTCCAGCCTGGGCGACAGAGCGAGACTCCGTCTCAAAAAAAAAAAAAAAAAAAAAAAAAAGAGCAATATCCCTTGTACCCCATCCTCTTTGCCCTGTTTCATTTTATCATCATCTGATATATTATATATTTACTTTTTTATGTATTATCTGTTTCAACTATTAGAATATAAGCTCCATGAAGGCAAGAACTTTTTGTTATCTGCTATATTCCAGTGCCTAGCACAGTGCCTGGAACATGGGAGGCACACTGTAAATATCTGCTGAATGACTAAGTGAACTGCTGAATGACTAAGTTGAATGACCTCCTCCCACCTCATGTCAGGCCACTCAGTCCTGTCTATAATGTCTTTCCTCTGCCTTCTGGTAAATCTAATTCTTTTAGTTCCCATTGTCATTATCCAAGTTTCTATTATCCCTCTGAATTATTGTAGCAGGCTCCTATATAGTTTCTTCCATGCTAAACCACACTGAGTACTGCTGCCAATGCCACTGGAAATCATGGTTTTCAAGATTTCATTGCCCTGCCTAAAATTGTCAATGGCTCTCTTTGACCTGTAGTTTGAACTCCTTGGACTGGCATTCAAAGCCTTCTATACTCAGGCTTCAGGCTATTTCCACATATTTCTCCCATTGCTGGTCAAAAGGAAGTCTCTGCTGTCAGACTGTCCTCATGAGTGACATCTCTAATGGGGACAAAGAGGCAGGAAAGGAACTTGGAATCAGATAATATGGAAATCTTCAAAAGATATTTCTGTAAGATAAGAAACAGATGGCTAATTGAGAATCCTGGCAGCAGGTAATTAAAAGAACATCGGCCCAATTCTTTCCCCTCTATGAAGCTCTCCTGACTCACTTTTCATGAATCTGTTTTTTTTCCAAGATCCTATAGACAACAAATTGTCTGTACGACTCATTACATTGCTATCTAAATTGTAACCTGCTTTGGGAGTCTATGGTCTGTCTTTCACCTGAGATGTAAGAAATCTAAGATCTTGAACCATGTTTTAAGCTTGCTCTGCAGGCCTTTTATACTGCCAACTTGAATACCGAGCAATTACAGACAATAAAATAATATTATTAAACTCAACTGAATGGGTTGGTAGTGGTTATTTGTGGTCCTGAATTTGAGTAAAGCAATACTTTTTTTTTTCCTTCAGTCCCTGAAAGCTCAGGTAGACTATGTGGTTTTCCTTGCCTGAGAACTTAAAGGTCCAGAAAGACCACTGACTCTGAGAGCAGCAAAAAGAGAATGCTTTTTCTACTCTCCACCCTCAAAATGAACATCAAAAGAAAAACAAGGTCATGGGAAGAGGCAAGGCAGGAAGGGATGCAATGCTTATGTGGGCAGAAGGCTTGGATTATCTTGGCTTTGGAGAAGAGATGATTAAAGTTGGAGACTGGATCTCCCAGTTTGTTCTCTGTATTTCCTTTCTAGCCTATATGATAATATACCGCTAAAAAAAGATTAGCTTAGAGATTGCAAAGACCACCCTAGCTGGGCGAAGGCACAAGACACACGCTCTTCTGCATGAACACAACCAGATACCTTCTGACCATAACATAACTTTGCAGAGCACTTTGTTCCCAGGTTTTACTGATGCCTATAGCATTCTGAGAAGGAACAGTGAGGGTATGAGTAATTTCATTAGTGTAAAGATGAGGAAAGTGAAACTCAGCATGGTGAAAGAACTCCACTGAGCCAGCCAGGGCCCAAGCTCAGGCGTAGCACTGATTCTCAGCTAAGCTCTAAGACAATGAGCAAGACAGAAGAGGAAGAAAAAGGGAAAGCAGCAGGGGGAAAAACCCTCTCTCCTTACCTTATATTAAATGGAAGTAGGGTATTTCCAAATGAAAGCCTTGGCTACCTAGTCATCCTAAAAACAAGTGATTTCCAAAAAGACAACAATGAGATTTTTAATTGCTTCTAGATGTACAAGAACATAGTCCAGGGGAGAGTCAAGACAACAGCCAGCTGGTCGTGGTGGCTCACGCCTGAAATCCCAGCACTTTGGGAGGCCAAGGCAGGCAGATCACTTGAGTTCAGGAGTTCAAGACCAGTCTGGCCAACATGGTGAAACCCCACCTCTACTAAAAAAACACAAAAAACTTAGCTGGATGTGGTAGCCCACGCCTGTAATCCCGGCTACTCGGGAGGCTGAGGCACGAGAATCACTTGAACCCGGGAGGCGGAGGTTGCAGTGAGCCAAGATCACGCCACTGTACTTCAGCCTGAAAAAAAGAAACTCCATCTCCAAAAAAAAAAAAAAAAAAAAAAGACAACATAGCCAAAGAACCATAAGGAATATATGAAAAACCTAAGGGACAGCCAGACTACAGACTGCTGTATGATCATATAGGCAACATTTAAAAGAAGATGCAATGACATGATAAAAATGCTTCTCCAAATGTTAAATGAAAAAAATTACACTAAGCTTAATATATAATGTAACTCTCATTTTTAAAAAAATGTGTATAAAAAAGATTGGAAGGAAATACATCAAAATGTTAATCATGATTCCAAGTAATTATTATTTTCTTTTTATTATGTTTTTACCCACAATATCTTGAAAAAAACACGTTACTACTTTTTAAAATTTTTTCTTTTCTTTCATAGCCTTAACTGAAGCTCAGTATTACTTTAACAATTGAAAAAACCCTAAGCTGAAGGGTTTTTTGTTTGTTTGCTTCCAACTTAAAGGAAAACTGAAATAAAAAATAGAAGATGTTACTTCTCAGTCCTGTCCCTGGGCCTTACTAATAACTACTTAGCTTACCAAGAGGATGATTCTGGGAGCTCTTGAGACCATGAAGAGGGATGGTCTGAGGTTCCTATGGTCTTTTAAACAATTAGTGCAAAGAATTCAAATTAATCTATAACTGGAAGTTTCATATTGAGTAAATGCTGGGAGAAGCTGGATGTAGACCCAAATGATTTGTAGAGAACAGAGAAAAAGGAAAAAAAAAAAGAAAACAAAACAAAAAACCCCAAGGGCTGGGCTTAAAAGCAAAGAAAGGTAGGATCTAGTAGAAAAACTAAAAGACCAGAGAAAGTCCAGTATTGTAAGGAAAGAAGATGAAAATGAAAAAAAACTGAAGACGCTGTGTCAAAAGGAGGAAAACTTAAATTTTGTCCTCACTTTAAATAAAAATCATGCTCAGACAAGCAGGGAGGAATTCAAAGGAAAAGTCTTGACAAAGATAAATAGGGGAGTCAACAGAAGCCTGTCCTGCAACAAGGGAGGCTAAAATCAAAGGTGCTACTCTCTCTCTGGACAAGCTGGGCAAGAAGCAGAATCAGAATAGCACAATGGAAATTCTGACCTGACAGAAGCACAGCAACATATGACTGCAGAATGCATGAGTCATTAATTCCCTGCACAAGCACTGGTTCTTTAGCTTACCAATATGACTGCCACCTTCCTACATGCAAGGCAGCAGAGCATGATGATGTGAAGAGATCAGGGGAAGCCAACTGCCTAGGCTTGAATCCCATTTCTCCCATCAACCAGCTGTATAATCTTCAGTAAATTGCTTAAACCCTTTGCCCATGCTCTTATCTACAAATGGGGATGATAAAACCAGTACTCATCTCAAAGTGTCGTTGTGATGAGATTAAATAGGTTAATACATGTAAAACACCTAGCACAGTCCCTAGGCATGGTTAGCATTCATTTAGAATTATGCTTTTTTTAAAAAAATTATTGCTGTGATTCTTAATAATAACAAATTGACACCTAGTCAGCTTGCACACTATTCGTGTGTGTGGTTTCTCCCAAGACTAATACGTTTTTACAAACTACTATTTGCATGGTGCCTGATGAGCTGTATTAACAATCCTCTCCTTTTCTCAGAGAGGCATTTTTATTTTATTTATTTATTTATTTATTTTTTGAGTCGGAGTTTTGCTCTGTCACCCATGCTGGAGTGCAATGGCACAATCTTGGCTCACTGCAACCTCTGCCTCCCAGGTTCAAGCGATTCTCCTCCCTAAGCCTCCTGAGTAGCTGAGATTACAGGAATACACCACGATGCCTGGCTAATTTCTGTATTTTTAGTAGAGACAGGGTTTCAGCATGTTGGTCAGGCTGGTCTCAAACTCCTGACCTCAGGTGATCCACCTGCCTCCGCCTCCCAAAGTGCTGGGGTTACAGACATAAGCCACTGTGCCCAGCCTCAGAGAGGCATCTTATAGTCAAGTAAGAGAGGTACAAAGATGACAAAAAGTAACTTGTCTAAAATTATCAACTGATACTAAAATTATCAGACGAATGACTGAACTGGCACCCAATATTTGTAGGCTGGCACCATGAATAACACCTTACAATCAGGTTTCTATCATGTGATTTAAAAAATGTAACTAGAAAATGGAAGGGTCAGACTATCACAGCCCTATTCTAGAGGGTGCCAATATTAGCATCACTATCGGTAGACTAACTAGATGTTATGTATTTCCTGCTCTGATGCTACATGAAGTACTAACATCACTTATTATGCATTCTAAGTCACTTGAATCCACTTGGACCTTTAGAACCAACTTCCAATTTACAGGAAATATGGGATACGGGCAGAAGCTTAACAACACAAGTAAACAACCAAACAAATCTAGAAGATGGGAGATTTTGCAGGACATCTGGCTTGGCCTTTTCAACAAATCAGTTTCATGGAAAGAAAATAATACTAGATTAAAGTACACTTAAGGGACATAAAACTGTGTGCATTAGATACTGGCTTGGACAAACTAGTTGTCAAAGAGATTTTTTGAGTAATTAATTAAATCTTTAACATGGCCTGGGTATTAGATGAGACAAAAGTTTATTGAAATGTAAAGGAGAAGGTCTTGACTAAAACAGTAGATTACAAAATAGTATGTACAATAAATCTGTTCTTTATATCATATTTTTGCTTTCTGTATTTTTAAATTTTCTATAACATACATCTACTATAAAATTTAAAAGATTATTCAAAAGAATAGAGAAAAGGAAGGGAGGGAGGAAACAAGGAGAGGGAGAAGGAAAGAGGAAAAGGAAGAGAGAAAGGAGAGGGAAGAGAAGGCAGAGGGGAGAAGGAAGGGGGGGAGGGAGAGAGACAGAGGAGGGAGAGAAGGAGAGAGAGAGAGAAAGAGAGAGAAAAGGTTTTGAATTCACTATTCTTAAAGCCTGGCTTGTGACCAGGTTCAACCATACATTGGAAAGAATAACTTCCCATTATAATGTTCATAGCAGCATTATTTATAACATACATAATAGCCTCAAACTGAAAACTATCCAAATGCCATCAACAATTGAACAGATAAACTAAAAGTCTCATGTCCTAGGAACCCCCTCAGCCCAAGGCAAACAGGATAGTTGGTCGTCTTAGGTGCTGCCCACTGTAAGGAAGATAGAATTTGGCATTCAAAGCCTGCCAAGTTAGAGGGGCTTGATAAACATCTTGGGCTTCCCATGAAAACCCCAGAAAGGCCATGCCTTAAGTATACAGTATTTTCTAAGACGAAGGGCAAAACCAAAATATACCCACTGTAATGAAGTATAAAGCCAAGCCCCCACAAGATCAAGGTGATCAACCAGTAATTTAATAGCCTCCTAGAATAAAACTTCATACTCTTCAGAGGAAGATAAGTACACCTAGAGTTTCTATGACATATTATCTATGATGTCCAATATGCAATAAAAGATTAGTAGGCATGTAAAAAAAAGTCAAGAGGAAAATCAATAAACAGACCCACAGATAATGTCAATGTTAAAAATAGCAAACAAGGATTTTTAAGTAATTGCCAACTATGTTTTAAAAATATCCATACAATAATTGGGAGGCTGAAGGGGAAGGATCATTTGAGCCCCAGAGTTCAAGCCTAGCCTGGGCACCACAGCGAGACCCCATCTCTAAAAAAATTAGCCAAGCATGATGGTACACACCTGTAGTATCAGACACATGAGAAGCTGAGGTGGGAGGATCACTTGAGCCCAGGAGTCTGAGGGTACGGTGAGCTATGATCACACCACTGTACTCCAACCTGGGTGACAAAGTGAGTCTCCATCTCAAAAAAAAAAAAAAAAAAATCTGAAATAAAAAAAATTCATTGGATGGCATTTATAGCATCTTAGGTGAACAAAAGAAAGAATTGGTTGTTTTAATTATTTATTTATTTATTTATTTATTTTTTGAGATGGAGTCTTGCTCTGTCTCCCAGGCTGGAGTGCAGTGGCACAATCTCAGCTCATTGCAAACTCCACCTTCCGGGTTCAAGTGATTCTCCTGCCTCAGCCTCCTGCAAACTCCACCTTCTGGGTTCAAGTGATTCTCCTGCCTCAGCCTCCTGAGCAGCTGGGATTACAGGCACGTACCACCATGCCCAGCTAATTTTTGTATTTTTAGTAGAGACGGGGTTTCACCATGTTGGCCAGGCTGGTCTCAAACTCTTGACCTCAAGTGATCCACCCACCTTGGCCTCCCAAAGTGCTGGGATTACAGGTGTGAGCCACCATGCCCAGCCAAATTGGTAAACTTTAGAAATCATCTAAACTAAAGCATACAGAAAACAAAAATTTGAAAAAAATGGACAGAATATTAACAAGCTGTGGGACTGAATCAAGTAGTCTAACATACATGCAATTGATAACAAAGCAAAACAGGAAGGAGAGATGGGACAGAAAAAAATATTTGCCAAAAATTTTTCTCAAATTGAGGAAAAAATTGATATTTTTCCTACAATTTCTACAAATTAGATATTTGACAG
This sequence comes from Homo sapiens, assembly GCF_000001405.40. NCBI lineage: Eukaryota > Metazoa > Chordata > Mammalia > Primates > Hominidae > Homo > Homo sapiens. The sequence goes on along the minus strand of NC_000001.11, from coordinate 206,353,121 downwards.
ATCAGGGATTGTCTGGATATTATATTTAACCAAGCCAAAGGAATACAATGAAAACCACGCTTACACTCTTATGATAATCAAAGAACTAAAAACCAAAGATAATGAATAAATATTGGAAGCAGCCAAATAAAGAAGGGCTGGGCATGGCAGCTCACGCCTGTAATCCCACCACTTTGGGAGGCCAAGATGGAAGGACTGGGTTTGCTTGAGCACAGAAGTTTGAGTCTACAGTGAGCTGTAATCATGCAACAGGACTCCAGCCTGGGGGACAGAGACTCCATCTCTTTAAAACAAACAAACAAACAAACAAAAAGATGATATATTACATACAAGTAAGCAATAATAAGAATCTAAGAACCACAGCTGATTTCTCATCAGAAATAATGGAGGCCAGAAGGCAAGTGAATTACATATTCAAGTTGTTGAAAAAAATTATCTGATTCCATTTACACAAACAAATTTTTAAATGGGCAAATACTTATATTGTGTTAGAAGTCAGGATAATGGTTACCCTTCAGAGAGTAATGACTTGAAGTGGAGAGAAGGAGGGTTCATGGGATACTAGTAACATTCTTTCTTCATCTGGGTGCTGATTACATAGCTGTATTCAGTTTGTAAAAATTCATTGAGCTGTACACTTTATAATATGTGTACTTTCTCTAAGTATTTTATACTTTCATAAATAGTTTAGGAAAAAAACTTTGCAAAAATAGATGAAAGGTTCAGAGAAAATACACATCTAGGGCCTACTACAGTGGGAGGTATTCACAGTGTGAATTTTACGAAAGGTTACTATTATTACTTTGTCATCATCATCATCCCACAGAAAGTTTTGAGAGACCTAAATAAACCAAAAACCCCAAGCTCCCTTGGGAGGCAAATCTTACTCCTCAATTTGATTTTCAAGCTCTTTTAAGCACCTAGCAGCATAATGCTGTGCATGCAGTATTCACTAAAATACTTATTGACTGTATAATCTCCTAATTTAGGGTAGTATTCCAATACAAGGTTGCATATGGACACTTTTATTTTTTGTCTACTGCACCTCTCTTTCCCATATTCCATTTCCCATATTCCATTCCTCGTCTTCAGATTCCCTTAATAATCCTTTGATTTATACAAATCGAAGTACTATTATACTTTTGAAAGTTCTAAATATAGCACCTTGAGCTCTTTTAGAAAAGGTAGATACCTAAGAACTAAAACACCAAAAAGGCAAACACACAAACTAACCTAAGCAAAAGACTACAGACATCTTTGATGCACACATTCCCTTTGAGCTGCACCTTCCGAAGTCTAAATAAAAGCCTGGACCACCCAGAGAGCAGCCTCAAGGGAGAGCACACAGATGCTGCTGACCCAGTGTCACAGAAACCAAAGCTAAAACACCCCCAACAGCACGAGCTGCAAAGCTCCCCTCGGTGTTGGCTTTGGCAGCAAACCTGACGCCCCTTATCAGCAGAGATACCTTTGAAGTAGCTGGCAGCCTTCCATCCCCTACTCAAATAAGCTCAGCTTCACATTCTATTCTTTTCTCCAAAGAGGATCTTTTCATCAGATATGAGAGAATAAAGCTCAATTAATTAGAACAGATTTTTGCTACCAACAAGATAAACTGGGCAACTGGAACAGCTGTCCGTAAAGCACTGTGCAAACGCTGTTAGTGACCATGCTATAATGTGGAGGAAATTCAGTCCAATCACAGATACTGAGTTCAGACGAGCAGGAGGGATATGGTAGACGGGGAAGGGAGGGAGGGTTAAATCACTCATCTACTCCTTCTCCCAAAGAGTTAAACCCTTTCTTAAGGGGGCAGAGCACAGGGACACAACCTTTGGAAAACCATTCTTTTCCTCCATTCATTCAATCCACAGCACTTACCAGGGACATTCAACTATACCAGCATTGTGGGTCACCACTTCTCCTCTTCTTATTTATGACCATCACACCACCCAAAATGCCCTCTCACAGTTTCATCATCCACTCTTCTCACACATGCCAAACAGCTGGACTCAAGACACGCCATAGGAAATCCTATCTCAGTCCAAATGGATACCAAACAGATAGGTAACATGCACTGCTTTTAGTTTTAAATCTCATTTATCCTTTTTAACTACCAGATTCATTTCCTTAGTGCCAAAAGAAATCTGACTGTTGTGGCAATTCTCTTGTGACTGATTCACTAATGGCAAAAGGACATGTTTAACATCTCCAAGGCCCCGGAGAAAAGTATTAACTGAGCCTCTTACATTCCTTCCTCAGCACTCTTCTTGCATTCCCCACTTCCTGCAGTGTGAAGGAAGCCAGATTCACCCTTTGTCACCAGATTTATTTATCTGAAGCTAACTTCACCCTTCATCACCCTCCAAGAATAAAGTAGGAAACCACAATGGGTTGCCTAGAGAAACTAGCCTAGATGCTTTAACACTGTCTGTTGCAGAGGCAAACATGGCTCACATACAGATAGACAGGATCTTAGGGCATCAGATATTCTCTGTGCTCTGCAGTTTCCCCAAGATGGAAAACAGTGCAGCAGTGATTCTCAGCCCTAGCTGTAGGCAACAATCACCCAGGCCCTACTCCAGAGATTCTGACTAAATCATGCTGGGGTAGGGTCTTGGCATGAGTATTTTTTAAATTAGATCAACTTTATTGAGGCATAATTTACATAATAAAATGTACACATTTTAAGTGTATAATATGATAAAGTCTGTCTAATGTACCACCATGGTCAAGATTATGTAACATTATAAAAATGTTATAAAGCATTGTTTAAAATGTTATATAATGTAGGCTATAAAAACCCTACAAACTCCCTTGTGTCCCTTAGCAGTCAATCCTTCATCCCCATCCTGGCCCCAAGGCAATCAATGATCTATTCTCTATCACTATAGATCAGATTTGTTTTTTCTAAAATTTTATAGAAACAGAATCATACAGAATGTACTCATTGTGCTTGGCTTCTTTTTATCAACATAATGTTTTTTGAGCTCATTTATATTGTATCAGCATTTCCCTTCTTATTGCTGAGTAGTATTGATATATGGATACACTACAATATGTTTTTCCACTCACCTGTTGATGGACATTTGGGTTGTTTCCAGTTTGGGCTATTATGAATAAAGTACCTAAGGCAGCTGTAACAAATTACTGCAAACATGGTGGCTTAAAACAACATACATTTGTTCTCTTAGAGTTCTGGAGGTCAGAACTCCAAAACCAATTTCACTGGGCTGAAACCAGTGAGTCAGCAGGGCTGCTTCTGCTCCGGAGGCTCTCAGGAAGAATCCGTTTCCTTGCCTTTTCCAGCATCTAGAGCTGTATTCACTGGCTCATGGCCACTTCCTCCATATTCAAAGCCAGTGGCATAGCATCCTCTCTCTATGACTCTGTTTCCCTCTGCTTCTATCACATGACCTTCCTCTCTTTTATCTGTAATCTCCTTCTTATGAGGACACTTGTGATTGCATTTACAGCCCACCCAGCTAATTAAGCATAATATCCCCATCACAAGATCCTTAAATTAGTCATATCTGCAAAGTATTACATGCATAAGGTAACATTCACAGGTTCCAAAGGTTAGAATATGGACCTCTTTTTTTTTTTTTTTTGAGGGAGGCATTACTCAGCCTATCACAAAAGCTTTATGAATATTCAGGTGCAAGTCTTTGTTTAGACATATGCTTTTATTTCTCTTGGGTAGATGCCTATAAATACCTGGAATTACTGGGTCATATGACAAGTACAAATTTAATGCCATAAGAAACTGCCACTATTTTCCAAAGTGGTTGTACCACTTTCACACTCTCACTAGCAACATATGAGGGTTCTGGCCAACTTCCTTAACACTTGGTATTGCCAGATGTTTTAATTTTAACCATCCTAGTGAATGTATGGTATATCTTCTTACAGTTTTAACTTGCGTTTCCATCACGAGTGATGATATTGAGCATATTTTCATGTGTTGATTAGCCATTTGTATATTTTTATTAGTGAAATGTTTATTAAAACCTGTTTCCATTTTTAAAAATTTGGGTAGTTTGTCTTATTACTGAGTTCTCAGAGTTCTTTATTCTATAATCTGATATAAGTCCATGTCAGATACATATTACAAATATTTTCTCCCAGTCTGCGTCTTGTCTTTCATTTTGTAAATAAAGTCTTTCTAGGAACAAAAGTCCAAGACTTGATGAAGTCTGACTTATCCTTTATAAAATTTTATGGTTCATGCTTTTTATATTCTAAGAAACCTTTGTTTATTCAAGGTCACAAAGATTTTTTTAAAACTCCCCAAGTAACTTTCATGCCCAGGCAAAGTTGAAAGCTACTGGTCTATAGGGAATCTGACTTGGCTTTTTCAATTTAACCTAAATTTTTGCCATAGAAACTTAAGAGTCCTAACAGCAAAACAGGAGTACAGTTCACTGCAGTGCTGTAAAAATAAGGATGCAACTGAGCCTTAGCACTGTCTGAACTGACCAGCTTCCAAGCTTAAGTGTGAGCAGCTGTGAAGGGCTAGAAACAGTGATTTGAGAAAGCAAAGTCAGAGGTACTTTTAGTGTGTTCCAGCTAAGTAAAAAGAGAAAACAGGATTATCCTCTCTCCTGTAGGAAAAAGCACACCCAAGTTTATTTCAGTTTAAACTAAGCAAGTGGGAAAAATTATTTCTGTTCTTGGTGGGCTTCTTTAGAACATGCCCCTCATGGAGACCACAGGGAGATGGGAGTCAAACTTGGCAGTTTTTGCCCATGGTTTTTGAAGCCACCGCATTAAACAAATGAAGGTGGCAGCAATAATATTTGCCCAAACCCTGGTTCCAACAGAGGTTAGACAGACTGAGCTTTCATTACATGAAAGGAGATGTCAGGAGCACCAAACGGGCTCAATTTTCCCTCTCGTCCTAGACAAAGTCAGTCTGTTTTTAAGCTGTGAACAGGAGGCTACTTTCTCCAGATGTTATATTTAGCTAAAGGAATCTCCAACATGGCTTCATGCAAAATGTAAAATATGTACCAGCAGACATTACCACAAACCAGAGGGCTAGCAAGGAGCCTCCCTTAAGGGGGTTCAATAGCATAGAGGGGCCAATTGTGCAGCCACCCTGACATCCCTAAATTAGCTAAATTAGCTGTGAGCCAGATTTGGGGCCAATTCTCACATTTAATGAGTCCTTGTTTCCCTCTTACAGGGGGCACAGATATTTTGCCCCTGGGGAGTATAAACATGCTGCCCTATTTCATTCCCAACTTCCAGCTGCTTGCCCCAACCCCAGGTAGGAAAAACAATCCAATGTTGATGTTCAACATCTCCATACCCTTTGAAGGTTTATGTGCAAAAGAAAAATTAGGTTAATTCTATAACTAAGTGAAATATCTGAATTCAATGAAACAGAGAAAATCCAGGATTTTCTCTTCTCTGTACAACATACTTAGAGAATCCTAATACAGTATGTAGATGAAAACGTTGGATTCTAGAGCCAGGTGACTGGAGTTAAACATTAGCTTCATTTCATTTTTCTTAATCTCTCTCTCTCTTCTTTTTTTCTGAGACGAAGTCTTGCTCTGTTGCCTAGACTGAAGTGCAACAGCATGATCTCTGCTCACTGCAACCTCCACTTCCCGGGTTCAAGAGATTCTCCTGCTTCAATCTCTTGAGTAGCTGGGATTACAGGCACTGGCCATCTTGCCTGGCTAATTTTTGTGTTTTTGTAGAGACGGGGTTTCACCATGTTGGCCAAGCTGGTCTTGAACTCCTGACCTCAGGTGATCTGCCCACCTTGGCCTCCCAAAGCGCTGCGATTACAGGCGTGAGCCACCGCTCTCAGCCCTCTGTTTTGTTTTTTGTTTTTTTGTTGTTTTTTTTTTTTTAAACAGACAGGGTCTGGCTCTGTTACTCAGGCTAGAGTACAGTGGCATGATTATAGATCACTGCAGCCTCAAATTTCTGGGCTCAAGTGATCCTTCCCGTCTCAGCCTCCTGGGTAGCTAGGCCTACAGGTGTGTACCACCATGCCTAGCTAATTTTTTTTAAGTGGGGGAGGGAGGTAGAGACAGAGTCTTGCTATGTTGCCCAGGCTGGTCTTGAACTCCTTGCTTCAAGCGATCCTCCCACCTCAACCTCCCAAAGGGCTGGGATTACAGGCTTGAGCCACTGTGCCTGGCCTGCTTAATCTCTTTAAGCCATAGTTTCTTCCTTCATAAAACAGCGATGATGACAATAGTAACTACTTTATAAAATTATGGTAAGGATTAAAGGAGATAATACATATAAAGTGCTTAACACAATACCTGGCACATAGAGGTTCAAAATATAATGACTTCTATTATCATAATTTTTGCAGTGAATCATTAAGTTTTATAGATTAAAAAAAGATTTTTAAAAATGACTTTTGCTAGTGACAAACAGACCCAAATTCACATAAAGCACAGGTGTGTACAGCCATACCACAAATTAAGGTATCTTTTCTAAGCCTATGTCCCCAGAGAAATGGGTCCTTTTGCCACTGGAACCAAATTTACTGGTAAAACATATCTATTTTATGTATTTGGATCCCAATTTGGTATTTCTTCATTGCTGACACTGTAGATATCAGCACCTGAAATAATGCTTCATTCTTCAAGAAATCTGGTCTTCATTTGCTTAAGCTAGCCCTCTCCACACCTATATCCACTTTTGTTTGTCCTTATCTGTGGGATTACAATTTACCTATCACAATTTAACAAAGGTAACCTAACAACCAGAAGGAAGCCCCCAGTGTAGGATCCCCTTATCGTCACAGAACTGTGGTATCCTGAATTTGGAAGGCACCATGGAGATCACATAGACCACACTCTTTTTTTAAAGTTTAGGGAACTGAGGCACAGAAAGAAGTCATTGTCCAAGGTCTCAGAGTTAAGAGCAGAGCTAGGCCCAAGAGAAAGGGTCACTTGGAAAAGGCATCTCCTCTGATAGCACAAAGCAAATCCCCGGGAAGATTCATGTAACTACAGAATGGCTGAGGACATTCCTTAGGACTCTTATCTGATACTATATCTTAACCAGTAGGATTCTAATTCATGTGCAACGACACTCTAAACAAAAGAGGTTAAAAAACTGGGGTGTGGTATGAAGAATGTTTGTTTGCCCATTACTAGAAAGCAGAGAGGCTCTTTACCCAGCCAAAAGAGAATGAATCAATTTTTTTTTTTTAGGAGTCAGGGTCTCTCTCTGTTGCCCAGGCTGGAGTGCAGTGGCATGATTACAGCTCACTGCATCCTCAAACCATCAGGGTCTCTCTCTGTTGCCCAGGCTGGAGTGCAGTGGCATGATTACAGCTCACTGCATCCTCAAACTATCAGGGTCTCGTTCTGTTGCCCAGGCTGGAGTGCAGTGGCATGATCACGGCTCACTGCATCCTCAAACACCTGGGCTCATGCAATACTCCCACCTCAGCATCCCAAGTAGCTGTGGCTACAGGCACAGGCCACCATGCTCAGCTAACTTTTAAAATTTTTTTAGAGACAAGGTCTTGTTATGTTGCCCAGGTTGTTCTTGAACTTCTGGCCTCAAGCATTTTCCCACCTTGACCTCCTGAGTTGTTGGGATTACAGGAATGATCCATGGTGCTTGGCTCAATCTATTTTTATGATCTGCCAACCAGCTCCTAATTTAAGAGTTTTCTGCCTACATGGGAATGCCCCAAGGGAGGGAGAAAAGAGATTATTCACCCTGTGGGATAGTAATCATTGGCCATTCAACAACCCTGGGCATGTCTCTAATCAACTACAATTTAATTGATCCAAAGTTACAAAGATCAAGAGAAATTCCTATGATCTGCAACTATACACAACAGTATGAATAAATCTCACAAACATAATATTGAAAGAAACCAAACAAAAAAGAGTACATACTGTGCAATTCTACTTATATAAAGTATGAAACCAAGCAAAGCTAATCTCTGCTGTTAAAAGTCAAGACAGTTGTTATCCTTGGGGATTTAGGGTGGGGAGATGACTAGAAGGGAATATGAGGGGCTTTCTAGGGTACAGAAATGTTCTGTTTCTTGATCTGGGTGCTGGTTACACAAGTGTGAATTCAGTTTGTGAAAATGCATATAGCTATTAAATTATAATAGGCATACTTTTCTTCAGTGAAATGTAATATATAAACAGTCCTATGAGAAATAAGTTCTTCCTCACGCTCTAGCATAGTAATACACGGCTTAAGGAAGTCAACCCTGAGCCCATGGCTAGGAATATCATTCACAGACGAATTTTCTTCATGGATGTCATATGCCCCACACCTTGTATACATGCCATGTACCTACCTTTGGTGAAATGTGCATAGGGCACTTGAAGAGCCAGGAACACTCGTGACTTTGCTATCTGGCTGCCTTCAGTATAAGCATCTCTGAGATCTGGAGAGGCTATTAAATTATCTAGCCTGGTTTTTCTCTAACCTTCTAAGGCTTGGTAAAAAGGGAGCTGAGAGACTGGGTGAAGTCTAGCTAGGTGAACAGATCTTATAAAAGTTGTTTTCTCAGATGAACAAAGAAAACGGAGGAGGAAACTATCAGTCAAGCCCTTTCCTTCTTGAGATAGTCTAAGTGGCTGTCAAGGTCATAGAGACGAGCTGTCAAAATTTCACCTAAATAGGTTTTAATTTTAGTCACACACATGCATCACCAAGTATTGCAGAATAATTCAAATTAATGACAACCAAGCTGAAGCTGATGCTGGAAACCATGGAGGAGATGGTGAGAAGTACCCTCACTCCAAAATGAGGTGTGGCCCCAACCACAGCACAGCCGGGCTACTAATAAAAGCCAGTGAGCTCTGGGAGGAGTTATCTTTCTCTGCCTTCTTTTCGTCGTCAGATGATTGTACCCTCAATATTCTGTCTCTAAGACACAGGGAAAGCACCTTCACGGATGCAATTAGGTAGATGGAAGATTCCAAATCAGTTATTTGATCAGGCTGGTAATTACAGAAAAAAAATGGGGTATTAATTCCAGATCTAGTGAAATCTGGAAAAATTCCTGAGAACTGGAAAGCTGATCAAGAGCTTTGACTGTATCGACTACAATCCTGTTTACCAGTCTTTTCTCTCATACTTTCAAATTTTAATAATGGATTTTGTCACCTGGAAACTGATGAATTCTAAATAGCCCTCTATAATCTTTTTCTACCTATAACTTTTAGGAAGATTATTTGCCTTCTGGAAAGTCTTCCGGGGATGTCAATGCTTGAATGGTAGACATGGCATATCATATACAATGGTTGGGGCCTTCACCGCTGTCTGTAACCCAACCTCATGAATAAATGATTCCACTTTGAGCTCAAGCTGAGACAGCTTAGAAAAGAGCTTCCTGGATTTTCAAGAGGCTAGTTCCATCGTTGACAGGTAAGGTGAATTGGCTCCTTAAGATTATCATGATTATTTTGAGTTTTCCTTTGTCAAATTGTTCAACCTATACCCAAGGAAGTACGATAACAATTGAGTTCCGAAAGCATTCAGAGACCCAAAGACAAAGACATACCACGATAAGAATAACCACACTTTTGAGTCTACCTTGGCCAAGATAAGACCCTGGGAAGAAAACTAAACTAAAAACATAAACGTATATGAGTTTGCTAAATGAACTAGAATAGGAAAACATAAAATGACAGTGTTGGCCCCTTAAGCTCAACAGCTTCACAAATCACTTTAAGAAAACTTCCCAAAACACAGTTTTTGTTAATAGATGCAGATTATGAATTATAGTACCAGCCCTGGGTTTATACCTTGCAAATGGTTCCTTTCCCAAGGCTACTATTAATTCAGCTCAGAAAGGAAGAAAGGAATGCCAATTCAAATATTTTTTTTCTCCGCAAGTATGTGGTAGGGAATGACTAGTGGAAAGCCTATGAAGTGGGCCAATAAGATATTCTTTCTTTTATTTTTTCTTTCCAACTTTTATTTTAGGTTCAAGGGGGGTATATGTGCAAGTTTGTTACATGGGTAAATTGCATGTCATGGGGGTCTGGTGTACAGATAATTTTGTCACCCAGGTAATCAACATAATATCTAATAGGATTTTAAAAATTGTGTCATTGCTCCACCCAAGAACCTCTGTGACTAGAAATATCTCTGTACCTTTTTAAAGAGTCTTCCTGAGTCCTCGCTGACTTGTACAAATCGAGGAATGATATTATTCAGGTAGATGTCACTCAGGGTGGTATGGTCCCTGCTTTCCCGCTTCACCTGGTTTAAGAGGAGATTCCAGCAGTTGACTGGAGAGAGAACATTCTGATCCTTCCTGTGAAGAAACATCAAGGAAAAGAAGTCATTGTTGATACGCAGCCAGGGCAACATCTACAACTATAGTCCGTGTCCTAAAATCACAGCAATCAAAGCCAATCCAGAAATAAAGATATTTTTCCTGAAGCTCACCTCTCTAGTTTTCTCCTTTTCTAAAAACTCAGTGGAGAAAAAAGGAGAAAATAAGGACAAGAAGGAGAGGGAGGGAAGAGGGGATGTGCAAGGAGAAACAGGATTATCTGTTAGGCACCTACTATGTTCTAAGAACTTGGTGAATGCTTTATACGTATTATCTCATCTCATCTAAGCTCTATCATTTCATTTTAAGGAAAGAACTACCATTATCCCCCTTCAACTGATTAGAAAACTGAAGCTCAGAGAGGTTGTCACTTGTCTACAGCGAGTAAGACTAACACAACAAGTAAGAGGGCGCCAGGGACTAGAACAACAGTTCTGCATTGTCTGGCTAGACCAGGTCTAAGGTGATTCTGAAGTCCATCATTTTAGCCACTAAGTCATTTGGTTTGTCTCTAGGGTTAGAAACCAAAGTTAGAGATTTTGTCTAGAGACAAAAATCACTACAGCACTACAAAATCCCCACAAATGTATCCATTGTAGGATTTAATAAAGGCAAATTTGGAGACATATGCCATTAAAATGTTACTGAAAACTCTGGAGTTCCACAGAACACATCTAAGGAAGTTTTGATTTCATTTATTGAGCCATGATCTCATGTCCCATACAATCAAGAACACAAACCATACCTGAACATGCGTTCCTAAAATGTCTACAGCTTGAGTGGAGCAGTAAAGTGCTAAACCAAGGCGCTCATTCCCTTTTTTTTTTGAGACAAAGTCTCACTCTGTCACCCAGGCTGGAGTACAGTGGCACAATCTTGGCTCACTGCAACCTCCGCCTCCCGCGTTCAAGAGATTCTCCTGCCTCAGCCTCCCTAGTAGCTGGGATTATAGGCACCTGCCACCACGCCCAGCTAACTTTTGTATTTTTAGTAGAGATGGGTTTTCACCATGTTGACCATGCTGATCTTGAACTCCCGACCTCAAGTGATCCACCCACCTTGGCCTCCCAAAATGCTGGGATTATAGGAGTGAGCCACCGCGCCCAGCCCTAGATGCTCATTTCTAATGAAAACATTGTGATCCAAAAGAATTATTGATTACCAACTCAGCATTAACTTAAGCAACAGAAAGTTCTACATTTGGAAGTTGGATTTCTTTAAGGAGAGAAACAAAAGTAGGAATAATTTGCAGTACTATTTATCAAGGGATACTGTACACATATCTGGGCCCTTTATACATGTTGTTTGACTTAAACCCCACAACTACCTGATGAGGTGGGTGTTATTAACCACATTTGGCAGATGAGGAAAAGTAGACTAAAAATTTTTAAACACTTTGCCCAAGGTCATATAGCTAAAAAGTGGCAATTCCAGAATTCAAACCAAGCCTATAACTGCAAAGCGAGTACTGTCATTCACTGCAAATAATAACTATCTGTTTCTTTCCCCCTTTCCTCTCTTCCCTGCTCCAGTCAGACTCCTACTACAAAGAAAGTGAGTTGAGAGTAGCTTGGTTATTGAGTCAGTACTGCCTCCATTCAGCACTAAAGGCCAGGCACTTGTGATTTGTAAACCATGAAGTTCAACTTAGAAGGCTTTTCCAATTCTATAGTAGTAACTATTAACAAATAATCATGCCATACTTACTTGGACTTCAGAATACATCAGACAAATCAAATATCTGTCTAACCCAACCAAGAAGTTACTTCAAACCAATTAATATTAGAGTCCAAATTGAAACTGTTCTAAACCTATATCCAGGTACCACTCACCCCCTGCCCCAGGCATCACTCTTCTGTAGCCAAAATCACTAACTCTTAAGCGTGCCAATCACTGTGACAACACTTACCTTTTTAGGGAAACTGAAAGATTTCTATGGAAATCAAAAATATACCAGCTGAGAGGAAGAGAGACACATAATTAATTTACTCCTTTCAAAATGTTTAGTATCTGGGGAAAAAAAAGTGAACTGGAAACAATCCTAAATTCAAAATGGTAAGATATTTGAACACATGCATTCCATAGCATCTGATGTTTCCATTGCAAGAAAACTTTCAAAATGATTCCAATTAGATTTCAGTTACAAAATTCTAAATAACCTAATTTACATTTTAATCAAGTGGTGTCTCTCGGCAAGATACCCATGTCCTCAGTAAGCATGCTTTTTAAAGGGGCAGATCTCATGAGACTTTACATTGACAACTGGTTTCAATCTATTTCTTAAGGGAGAAGATGGATTGGGGGGGGTCTATACTGGTTCTTTCCCTATAGCACTTTACATACACACAAATAATGCCACAATTCAATTCCACAAATGTACACACATTTGTATCTTAAATGAACAAGGCATGGTGTTAGGTGCTTTAGTGGTTATAAAAGTGCAAATGCTGCAATATAGTAAGGGAGACAAAGAAAGACCTATAGTAAAGTAGAACTTTAATGGTGGTACAAACAAAAGGCCAGCTAGCTCAGAAAGGTAGACCGCAGATCAAAAGGAAGCAGAGGAGGCAAAATCAACCTAACACCATGGAAAAGGATGCAGAGCACATATCCCCAGGGTGTCCTCAAAAGAAAAGATGACTGAACAAAGATGGGTCAATAAACAGGATGGCTGGAAGTAGAAATCTTTTAAAATAAAATGCCTTATCACTTAATGCTAATAAGTTTTATTGAGAACTTGTAAGGTGTGGCTCACACCTGCAATCCCAGCACTTTGGGAGGCCAAGGCAGGTGGATCACTTGAGACCAAGAGTTCAAGACCAGCCTGGCCAGCATGGCAAAACCCCATCTCTACTAAAAATGCAAAATTACCTCAGTGTGGATGGTGCACACCTGTAATCCCAGCTACTTGGGAGGCTGAGGCAGGAGAATCACTTGAACCCTGGAGGCAGAGGTTGCAGTGAGCTGAGATCATGCCACTGCACTCCAGCCTGGGTGAGAGCAAGACTCCATCTCAAAACAAAAGAAAAAAAAGAAAAAAGAACTTGCAAGGTGCTATAAGTACTTTTCACATGTATTTATTTCCATCCTTACAGCATTTTGTGCGATAGTTACAGTATTAGTATTGGTTTCAGAGAGCAGGAGCTTTTAAACTGTGTTCTGAGATACTCTGGAATTAGCAGAAAATCACATTTCAATTTAAAAAACGGTGACACATCCATTCAAATGAGCAACCCTCACTGACATGAGCAAGAGACCCAGGACCCAGTCTCCCTGCATTAGATACCACTGCAATGTCTCGCAGGCTGCTAGCATTGTTTTATGTAAACCCTGGAAGAAAGAATCACTGTATGCCTTGGAACTTCTGAACAATATGCTATTAATTAGAATACATGTAGCTTTGCATAGGTTTATTTTTTCATTCAAGCCTGTGTGTGCCTCCTCCAATAAAGCTGTACAGGTGAGCCTATAACTTGACACACAGCAGCAAGGTTCAATCACATGCCATAGAAGGCTCAAGGGCCTAGGCTGGGTTCATGTTAGACCGTGGTTGGGTAGCGAAAATCAACATGCTTAATATCATACCATCTCATCATCAGTTGTTGCGATGCCTATTATACATGTTGGGGCTTATCCAATTAATATTTATGAAGGGGAATAGCTGCTAGGTGATGATAGTGACTCAACTTTAAAACAAAAATATCTTCTTTTTTCCATCTAAATCAATTTAAAGCTCAAGATTACAATAACTTATCTATGCTAATCAGAATTTTCTTGATATTGGACTGACTACCTAAACCAAAACCAGATGCTGAAACGAATATCAAACTATAACTGATTCATAATCCTGATCTCAATATTTTTAGTTCATGAAAACAGCCTCATTGTTCTCATTGACTGACAGTATAATAAGTACTCTATAAATTTGTACTTTAAAAGCAGATTTATACCAATAAAAATACTGCTTTGATCTGTTTCATATATTGAGGCTCTATGCAAGATTTTTATTTTAAAAAAGGAGTCTATGCTTAAAAAACCAGCACTAGATCCTGTTGGCTGTTTCTTCCAGGAGTTCTCAGCCTCTCCTACTATTAATGCAGCTTTTCACACAATATTTCTGGTCCTTTGAGTCTGTAAGCTTTCTCAGACATATTCTTCCTTTCAACTGAGGTGTTTCAATTAATTCATTTATTTATTTTTGGGTAGTGGTAGAGCAAGTAAGGTAGAGAGAAAGTGGGAGGAGGGGATCACAAATATACAGACAATTTTCCCAGCCAACACGAACAAAGATGAAACACACTTCAGGCTGGAAAATAAGCACGGCAACGAGACGTGATTTCATAGGGAGCATATTAAGGCTCTGCTAGAGTGGTTTCCTGCTCCAGAAGCTTTGCAGCCTCATTTTATTTGGGACCGCTGAAGCCAAGGGAACTTCGTTTGGTTAGGAGATTGAAATTTGTCTTTATATCTTTTCCATCTATCATTTGTTTGCACAGTCTCTTTACTTTCCCCACCCCCAGAGCCTTAGGTTGTATAATACTTGGGCCTTTAAAGGAAAGGGTCTGCATCCCTTAGGAATGTGCTGAGCAGCTGCAAACCTCCTCAAACACTAATCCCTAAAAAGCAGACAAAATACCTAGGAGTATTTTTCTTACTTAAAATGTTTTTCAGGAGGAAGATCAAGAAAACATCATACTGTACTTGAGAGGGAATGACTCTGGAGTCGAAAGGAGACCCGGAAAGTCACATGCTGCCTGTACATCTGCAGAAGACATTATCACTGTAAATGCACTGAAAGAGATAAACCTGCATAGCTGAATCATTAGCTTCGAAGACATTAGACCAGCTTTTCTCCCTCACCTTGGACTATTTATGGACGTTCAACAAACTTAGCAACAAGCGCTTAAAGGGATTTCTCTAAAATATCCATGGTGAAGAGCCAAGTCCATAAAGGTCCAAGTTGGCCTCTCTATTATGGTTCTTTTCCATATCACCTCTGTTTGGTTTTTATCATCTCATCTATAAAATGGACACGTGCCCTATTGGTATACATCTCACTCCTCAAAGATCTTCAAAGTATGGCTGTAAAATCCTAGACGCTCTCCTGACCTAAGGTGCCATTTAATTAATAATTGCTACGTTCATGGCTGTGCAGATGGAATGCATGGCATGAGGCTGGCATTGCTGGAATATAGCTTGAGCTTCTGCATTGCTATAACGAGGTGTGTTTCCTTTTGGGCCAATAGTCTCTAAGTTGCTCACCTCTCAGGGCTGTTGTGTGGATCAAATGAAATGATGGATGCAAAAGAACTATGCCAATAGTTCAGCACTATACAAATGTGAAGAAATATTATTATTTTTATTTCCAAACAAACTAGGACTCAGCTTTCATCAATTTCCAACATGCTTCTCACCCGGCTCTGGGCCAGGGCCAAGATTGCTGCCTGCTGAAAATGCACAGCCTTCAGCAAATAATGGTTTGAGTAAGACAGCAGCAACAGGCAATTAACAAAGCAGCCGTAAGGCTCTGGGAAGACGTGAGAGAGATACCAACAGGAGAGCAGATTTTAATCTCCCACTGTCCTTTCCCTAAGGGACAAGGTAGAACAATCAGTCCTGCATTCCACACTGGGAACTGTGTGCTGAGGTTGACAGAAAGGAATCCAAAGGGAGCACAGATTGCCAAAACCCTAGATGCTTCAGCAACTTATACTAAGCTCCCATCCCCTGTCTCAGAATTCCTATCAAACCCGCCAATCTGCATAGAGAGATGGCAACTATCAATACATCTAAGCAGAATATAATTTCTCGCTTTTAAAAACAGACCTATCTGTGATGATAGACAAAACTTAAAGAGTTAAATACATCATTCAATATATGTTATTGAACATACAAGTATGTGGTGAATAAAAAAAGGTACATGCATGATAAAAGGAATCATTTAAGTGATGGTTGGACAGGGAACTTGTGACAAGAAGGAGGTTGGATTTTTTAACCTAAATTCCCTCCTGGCACCTTGATTAAAATGAAATGAACTGAGGCAGCCAAAGAGATTATTTTATTCAGATGAGTGTTATTAGCCTTTCTGGCTTATTTTCTCTATTATGCATTTTGCTGATGCTGACAGAAGCAGGCAGGCTGGATAGAGAGGCAAAGCTGCAGCGGATTTATGGTCTGACAGTGTCATGCATAAAATCAGACCCTTGCTGACCCAGATAAGCCAGAGGATGGATTGGATTTGCTGGGGAAGGTGTTAAAAGAAGGAGGGGGTAAAAATCACCAAGGTAGGAAATGACTTGAAAACGATTCTGCCTGTAATGGTGGATGCTGGTTTTGTGACCCAGTAGTACAGCGGCAGCCTGAAGGTATCTTTCAAAGACAGACGGGCAGGCAGGGGGCGGGCACACTTCTCTGGGCTTATCACAGCTTTGGCTTCAGCGTTGCCAGCAATGAGATCAGAGGAGGAGAGTTCAGAGACAGAGAAAAGTGCCAAAGGCAAAAATAATATAGTCTACATATGGAGAAATGAACTTTCAAATTTTCAGGGACAAGTGAGTACCACAAATTGTCTTCGGTAGCCTAGACAGATGATTAGAAAGGATTCAAGCAGTGGTAGACCCACCTTCTCAAAATAGCCTAAATTGTCCCCTATAATCAGGTTTGGGGGAAGGACTGTATGAAAATAAGATTCTTGTGGCTCTGGATTAGTTCCATGGAGCAGAACCACACCCTTGAGAGAACAGCATGCCCAAGAGCCGGACCTTAGGAATCTGCTTTGAAGTAGAGAACTGGACTAGCACCATGTCTGACATCTATTAAGTGCTTACGATTTCCTGAATGATTATAGGACCAAGGTTCTTGTGGGTTAGGTCAGAGAACTAGGAATGGTCCCCAAATTTAAGCTATCGTAGACACTAACTGGAAATGTCTCCATCAATTTATGTTAAGTGAGAGATTCTGCCTTCCTTTCAACCACCCCTATGGCACGGTGCTCACAGCAGAAAGGAGGCAAATGGAGGGTCTTCATATCTCTTAAGATAGATCTATGGATCCCATAAGACCAGACACGGGGGTCTACACAAGATTTGAATCTCTGCCATCCACATTTCTTGCCTAGTTTCTGATATCTTATTGTCCAGGCTCCTTCTCTGAGTCCCTGATGTCTTCTTATTTCATTCATTCATTTAACAAATATTAATTGAGCCTCCTATTATGGGCTAGCCACTATTCTAGGAATAACAGGATCAACATTCTTTTTTCTGACCTGCTTCTCCCATGTTTGCAGACTTCCTGGATCCAAGACATGGCTTTCCTGCTCCTAAACTGTGCATCAGCCACAACCCACATCTTATCCTGGTCTTGTGGCTTGTGTGTACATTGGCTTGGATGAACCCACTGCAAAACCCTGATTTGGCTGACTTAGAAAATCTGCCTGCCCACCAGCTCCCTCTATAGCTTCTGTAGACCTGGGACCTTCCCTTTGTTTACATCCCATGTGTTAGCACTAGCATTCCCAGAACTATAGGGAGGAATGAATAAAGAGGCTTTTAAACCCTCTTGGTACAATCTACATGCTACAATGCCACCCCAATATAATCCATAGAACTAAGGGCCTAGAAATGCACTTAGGTATTAAATATGCTCCCTGAAAGCCCCCCAAAATAGGCTGTGATCACATCAAAGGCCTGAGCTGACTCATTCACTCAGTTAAACTAAAACACCATAGCAAGGGTAAAAGACAGAACAAAGGTGTGATCAATGACCGAGGAACATAAAATTTATACGTTTCTCAGCTTAAAAAGAATTCATAACCATCAATATCATGTTGACAGTTGGATCCACAAAGTCCATAGAAAAACCTGTGAACAACTCTACAATTATATCTTTGATTTTTTCTTCTCTAGTTAATTAAGATGTCACCAGAAGCCCTATAAGTAATTATAGCACTTGACAAACATACAGAGAAAAAAAATACACACAGATGTGTTAGCAGATTTTTAAAATAAATGAAACCTTGGGAAATGACTGAGGCAGACAGTCTGGCTCACCCCTGGTAGTTCATTCTAGAGAAATAAATACCTGTCTGTGCCAAAGTGGAATGACGTCACTCAGAAATCCACACACTTATTATCAAAGCAGTAACCACCCCCTTAAGAGCAAGCATCTCTCTGGCACCAGGCATGAGCGGAGAAGTTTGATCTACAGCCAGAAACTCCTCCTGGCTAGCAAATTGTACTTTAGTATGCCAAATAGCAATAAGCCACTGAGAAGAAAGGGTATCCATAAAGATCTCCCCCTCCCAAATACCCGTCCCTGGGACAATGAGTCCCCTTACATGGCTCATAACAACAATGAAAAGGAGGGGAAAAAAATAAAATTCTTGATTCTGTGAAACTATAGATCTAAATGGAATGAAGTCTACACAGTCATCAGATTGGCTGCATGTGTCATTATCAGTTCTCATGTGTTATTTGGATATTTATCTTGCCTTTATTAGAAGGAAGTCTCTTTTTGTGTGGGGGTGCAGGAGGAACAACCCCCAGGCCCAGTAAGGAATTCTCTTGAGGACAGGGTATATTTAGAATGTTTAATGAACACCTATCACCAAGAATAGGTGGGTCCTTAATCAGTATTGACTAACAACAGATGCCAGAGCCAAAGCAATCCTGTAAATGTTGAGGACAGAAAGACCATGATTCATTTAATGACTAGTTAATATGTTCAGCCTCCACCAATCTTGCCAAATCAGCTGCTCCAGTGTGTATCTGTGCTCACTCTCTGGGTGGCTACTGAATGACCAAATTTGTATGTCCATTGGCTTGTGTGCTCTAAATTACAGCATATTATTAACCATGTTGATACTTTACTGGCAAAACTTTAAAGGGCTGAGTGGTATAAGAGAAGCCCTAGTCAATTTCCAGGTTAGTAGATCAAATTAGCAAGTTCAGGTCCTTAAGGAATCTGGATGAAAAATGTGAAACTCCATCTACACTCTGTGGAAAGCGCCTTGAACTATGCTTAAGACCCAGAGTCTAGGCTTAGCTCTGCCACTTACTAGCCAGGTAACTTTGGGCAAGTCACAAATGCATTCTGGGTCTCAAAATCTCTTCACCTGTTTTAAAAAGTAAATGGAAGCCAGGTATGGTGACACGTGCCTGTACTCCTGGCTACTCGGGAAGCTGAGGTGGGAAGATCGCTTGAGCCCAGGAGCTTGAGGCCACAGTGCACAATGATTGTGCCTGTAAATGACCAGCCTGGGCAACATAGGACCTGTCTCTTAAAAAATAAATAAATAGAGACGGAGGTAGAGGGAGGACACAGAGCCGCGCCGCCCGCACCAGAGACCTTCGCCTCGCCCCGCCGGTTCCTCACCCTCGGGGAGCAACATGGATAATCTCAGTGATACCTTGAAGAAGCTGAAGATAACAGCTGTTGACAAGACTGAGGATAGTTTAGAAGGATGCTTGGATTGTCTGCTTCAAGCCCTGGCTCAAAATAAATGATTCAGTGTAGGGGGGAGGAGCCAAGATGGCCGAATAGGAACAGCTCCGGTCTACAGCTCCCAGCGTGAGCGACGCAGAAGACGGGTGATTTCTGCATTTCCATCTGAGCTTTGAAGAGAGCAGTGGTTCTCCCAGCACGCAGCTGGAGATCTGAGAACGGGCAGACTGCCTCCTCAAGTGGGTCCCTGACCCCTGACCCCCGAGCAGCCTAACTGGGAGGCACCCCCCAGCAGGGGCACACTGACACCTCACACGGCAGGGTATTCCAACAGACCTGCAGCTGAGGGTCCTGTCTGTTAGAAGGAAAACTAACAAACAGAAAGGACATCCACACCGAAAACCCATCTGTACATCACCATCATCAAAGACCAAAAGTAGAGAAAACCACAAAGATGGGGAAAAAACAGAACAGAAAAACTGGAAACTCTAAAATGCAGAGCGCCTCTCCTCCTCCAAAGGAACGCAGTTCCTCACCAGCAACGGAACAAAGCTGGATGGAGAATGATTTTGACGAGCTGAGAGAAGAAGGCTTCAGACGATCAAATTACTCTGAGCTACAGGAGCACATTCAAACCAAAGGCAAAGAAGTTGAAAACTTTGAAAAAAATTTAGAAGAATGTATAACTAGAATAACGAATACAGAGAAGTGCTTAAAGGAGCTGATGGAGCTGAAAACCAAGGCTCGAGAACTACGTGAAGAATGCAGAAGCCTCAGGAGCTGATGCGATCAACTGGAAGAAAGGGTATCAGCAATGGAAGATGAAATGAATGAAAGGAAGCGAGAAGGGAAGTTTAGAGAAAAAAGAATAAAAAGAAATGAGCAAAGCCTCCAAGAAATATGGGACTATGTGAAAAGACCAAATCTATGTCTGATTGGTGTACCTGAAAGTGAGGCGGAGAATGGAACCAAGTTGGAAAACACTCTGCAGGATATTATCCAGGAGAACTTCCCCAATCTAGCAAGGCAGGCCAACGTTCAGATTCAGGAAATACAGGGAACGCCACAAAGATACTCCTCGAGAAGAGCAACTCCAAGACACATAATTGTCAGATTCACCAAAGTTGAAATGAAGGGAAAAATGTTAAGGGCAGCCAGAGAGAAAGGTCGGGTTACCCTCAAAGGGAAGCCCATCAGACTAACAGCGGATCTCTCGGCAGAAACCCTACAAGCCAGAAGAGAGTGGGGGCCAATATTCAACATTCTTAAAGAAAAGAATTTTCAACCCAGAATTTCATATCCAGCCAAACTAAGCTTCATAAGTGAAGGAGAAATAAAATACTTTACAGACAAGCAAATGCTGAGAGATTTTGTCACCACCAGGCCTGCCCTAAAAGAGCTCCTGAAGGAAGTGCTAAACATGGAAAGGAACAACCGGTACCAGCCGCTGCAAAATCATGCCAAAATGTAAAGACCATCGAGACTAGGAAGAAACTGCATCAACTAACGAGCAAAATCACCAGCTAACATCATAATGACAGGATCAAATTCACACATAACAATATTAACTTTAAATGTAAATGGACTAAATTCTCCACTTAAAAGACACAGACTGGCAAGTTGGATAAAGAGTCAAGACCCATCAGTGTGCTGTATTCAGGAAACCCATCTCACGTGCAGAGACACACATAGGCTCAAAATAAAAGGATGGAGGAAGATCTACCAAGCAAATGGAAAACAAAAAAAGGCAGGGGTTGCAATCCTAGTCTCTGATAAAACAGACTTTAAACCAACAAAGATCAAAAGAGACAAAGAAGGCCGTTACATAATGGTAAAGGGATCAATTCAACATGAGGAGCTAACTATCCTAAATATATATGCACCCAATACAGGAGCACCCAGATTCATAAAGCAAGTCCTGAGTGACCTACAAAGAGACTTAGACTCCCACACATTAATAATGGGAGACTTTAACACCCCACTGTCAACATTAGACAGATCAACGAGACAGAAAGTCAACAAGGATACCCAGGAATTGAACTCAGCTCTGCACCAAGCGGACCTAATAGACATCTACAGAACTCTCCACCCCAAATCAACAGAATATACATTTTTTTCAGCACCACACCACACCTATTCCAAAATTGACCACATAGTTGGAAGTAAAGCTCTCCTCAGCAAATGTAAAAGAACAGAAATTATAACAAACTATCTCTCAGACCACAGTGCAATCAAACTAGAACTCAGGATTAAGAATCTCACTCAAAGCCGCTCAACTACATGGAAACTGAACAACCTGCTCCTGAATGACTACTGGGTACATAACAAAATGAAGGCAGAAATAAAGATGTTCTTTGAAACCAACGAGAACAAAGACACAACATACCAGAATCTCTGGGACGCATTCAAAGCAGTGTGTAGAGGGAAATTTATAGCACTGAATGCCCACAAGAGAAAGCAGGAAAGATCCAAAATTGACACCCTAACATCACAATTAAAAGAACTAGAAAAGCAAGAGCAAACACATTCAAAAGCTAGCAGAAGGCAAGAAATAACTAAAATCAGAGCAGAACTGAAGGAAATAGAGACACAAAAAACCCTTCAAAAAAATCAATGAATCCAGGAGCTGGTTTTTTGAAAGGATCAACAAAATTGATAGACCGCTAGCAAGACTAATAAAGAAAAAAAGAGAGAAGAATCAAATAGACACAATAAAAAATGATAAAGGGGATATCACCACCGATCCCACAGAAATACAAACTACCATCAGAGAATACTACAAACACCTCTACGCAAATAAACTAGAAAATCTAGAAGAAATGGATACATTCCTCGACACATACACTCTCCCAAGACTAAACCAGGAAGAAGTTGAATCTCTGAATAGACCAATAACAGGAGCTGAAATTGTGGCAATAATCAATAGTTTACCAACCAAAAAGAGTCCAGGACCAGATGGATTCACAGCCGAATTCTACCAGAGGTACAAGGAGGAACTGGTACCATTCCTTCTGAAACTATTCCAATCAATAGAAAAAGAGGGAATCCTCCCTAACTCATTTTATGAGGCCAGCATCATTCTGATACCAAAGCCGGGCAGAGACACAACCAAAAAAGAGAATTTTAGACCAATATCCTTGATGAACATTGATGCAAAAATCCTCAATAAAATACTGGCAAACCGAATCCAGCAGCACATCAAAAAGCTTATCCACTATGATCAAGTGGGCTTCATCCCTGGGATGCAAGGCTGGTTCAATATACGCAAATCAATAAATGTAATCCAGCATATAAACAGAGCCAAAGACAAAAACCACATGATTATCTCAATAGATGCAGAAAAAGCCTTTGACAAAATTCAACAACCCTTCATGCTAAAAACTCTCAATAAATTAGGTATTGATGGGACGTATTTCAAAATAATAAGAGCTATCTATGACAAACCCACAGCCAATATCATACTGAATGGGCAAAAACTGGAAGCATTCCCTTTGAAAACTGGCACAAGACAGGGATGCCCTCTCTCACCACTCCTATTCAACATAGTGTTGGAAGTTCTGGCCAGGACAATCAGGCAGGAGAAGGAAATAAAGGGTATTCAATTAGGAAAAGAGGAAGTCAAATTGTCCCTGTTTGCAGATGACATGATTGTTTATCTAGAAAACCCCTTCGTCTCAGCCCAAAATCTCCTTAAGCTGATAAGCAACTTCAGCAAAGTCTCAGGATACAAAATCAATGTACAAAAATCACAAGCATTCTTATACACCAACAACAGACAGAGAGCCAAATCATGAGTGAACTCCCATTCACAATTGCTTCAAAGAGAATAAAATACCTAGGAATCCAACTTACAAGGGATGTGAAGGACCTCTTCAAGGAGAACTACAAACCACTGCTCAAGGAAATAAAAGAGGATACAAACAAATGGAAGAACATTCCATGCTCATGGGTAGGAAGAATCAATATCGTGAAAATGGCCATACTGCCCAAGGTAATTTACAGATTCAATGCCATCCCCATCAAGCTACCAATGACTTTCTTCACAGAATTGGAAAAAACTACTTTAAAGTTCATATGGAACCAAAAAAGAGCCCGCATCGCCAAGTCAATCCTAAGCCAAAAGAACAAAGCTGGAGGCATCACACTACCTGACTTCAAACTATACTACAAGGCTACAGTAACCAAAACAGCATGGTACTGGTACCAAAACAGAGATATAGATCAATGGAACAGAACAGAGCCCTCAGAAATAACGCCGCATACCTACAACTATCTGATCTTTGACAAACCTGAGAAAAACAAGCAATGGGGAAAGGATTCCCTATTTAATAAATGGTGCTGGGAAAACTGGCTAGCCATATGTAGAAAGCTGAAACTGGATCCCTTCCTTACACCTTATACAAAAATCAATTCAAGATGGATTAAAGATTTAAACGTTAGACCTAAAACCATAAAAACCCTAGAAGAAAACCTAGGCATTACCATTCAGGACATAGGCGTGGGCAAGGACTTCATGTCCAAAACACCAAAAGCAATGGCAACAAAAGCCAAAATTGACAAATGGGATCTAATTAAACTAAAGAGCTTCTGCACAGCAAAAGAAACTACCATCAGAGTGAACAGGCAACCTACAAAATGGGAGAAAATTTTCGCAACCTACTCATCTGACAAAGGGCTAATATCCAGAATCTGCAATGAACTCAAACAAATTTACAAGAAAAAAACAAACAACCCCATCAAAAAGTGGGCGAAGGACATGAACAGACACTTCTCAAAAGAAGACATTTATGCAGCCAAAAAACACATGAAAAAATGCTCATCATCACTGGCCATCAGAGAAATGCAAATCAAAACCACTATGAGATATCATCTCACACCAGTTAGAATGGCAATCATTAAAAAGTCAGGAAACAACAGGTGCTGGAGAGGATGTGGAGAAATAGGAACACTTTTACACTGTTGGTGGGACTGTAAACTAGTTCAACCATTGTGGAAGTCAGTGTGGCGATTCCTCAGGGATCTAGAACTAGAAATACCATTTGACCCAGCCATCGCATTACTGGGTATATACCCAAATGACTATAAATCATGCTGCTATAAAGACACATGCACACGTATGTTTATTGCGGCATTATTCACAATAGCAAAGACTTGGAACCAACCCAAATGTCCAACAATGATAGACTGGATTAAGAAAATGTGGCACATATACACCATGGAATACTATGCAGCCATAAAAAATGATGAGTTCATGTCCTTTGTAGGGACATGGATGAAATTGGAAACCATCATTCTCACTAAACTATCGCAAGAACAAAAAACCAAACACCGCATATTCTCACTCATAGGTGGGATTTGAACAATGAGATCACATGGACACAGGAAGGGGAATATCACACTCTGGGGACTGTGGTGGGGTGGGGGGAGGGGGGAGGGATAGCATTGGGAGATATACCTAATGCTAGATGACGAGTTAGTGGGTGCAGCGCACCAGCATGGCACATGTATACATATGTAACTAACCTGCACAATGTGCACATGTACCCTAAAACTTAAAGTATTAAAAAAAAAAAAAAATGATTCAGTGTAGTTGTAGTGCTAGATATATTATATGGAATTATCAGCAGTTTACCAGTTGGTTCTTTATTAGTACTCCTGATGTCTTAAACAAAAATGAATAACTGTTTATCTTTTAAAAAAATAAATAAATAAAAAATAAATAAATAAATGGGATAAGCAGGGACAGCAGACCTGCCCTGCCTAACACACATGACTTTTGTGAAGATCCAATCAAACAAGGTGATGCCCTTAAACAAACTTTATAAACATGAAAGTGTTCTACAACTATATATCAGTATCAACATCTTTTCTTATAATTATGACAACTATCATTACTCAACAGCCCACACAATGAATTCATACCCACAAAACAAAGTGACTAGAATCATGTCTGAAAAGACAAATACATCTCAAAATTCCTTTTATAATAAACTTGTTTCATAAATTCCCTACTTCATTAGTATACTAAATAGGAACACTTCTTTTTTTTTTTTTTTGAGACGGAGTTTCGCTCTTGTTGTCCAGGCTAGAGTGCAATGGTGTGATCTCGGCTCACCGCAACCTCCGCCTCCTGGGTTCAAGCGATTCTCCTGCCTCAGCCTCCTGAGTAGCTGGGATTACAGGCATGTGCCACCATGCCCGGCTAATTTTGTGTTTTTTAGTAGAGACAGGGTTTCTCCATGTTGGTCAGGCTGGTCTCGAACTCCTGACCTCAGGTGATCTGTCCACATTGGCCTCCCAAAGTGCTGGGATTACAGGTGTGAACCACCGCACCCGGCCCATACTTTTTTTTTGCAGAGATGGGGTCTTGCTCTGTTGCCCAGGTTGGAGTACAGGGGCATGACCATGGTTCACTGTAGCCTCAAACTCCTGGGCTCAAGCAATCCTCCCGCCTCAGCCTCCCAAAGTGCCAGGCTCACAAGTATGAGCCACCTCACCTGGCCAGGAATACATTTTGTTGCTATTAATTTATCATCTGATTCTCTGGAAATTCCCAAACTCAGTGAATCTTCTGTGCCTAATGCAGCTGAGACTTTAAACGAAAGAATCATGTGCAAAGAGAAAAGGCCAGAGTGTACAAAAATAGAATCATGGAATTTCAGAGCTAGAAGGGACTTTCAAGATGGTCTAGAGTCTAGACCAAGCCTGTCATTTTCTGAGTGAGGAAACTGAGGCTCAGGGAGCCTGAGGTCACACAGACAGTGGTGGAGCAGGGCAAGAATCCAGGTCTCCTGACTAGTAACCGTTTTCTTATTTCATTGTGGTGGTTATTACATTTCATTCAAAAGCCCTTAGCATCTCAAAGGGCTGGTGCTGAAAGAGTTAATGGACAATGCTCAGAGCCCCAGAGCGCAGAGCTATTCTAAGACAACACATAACAAGAATACCAAGGGTCCATGAACCCAGAGGGAGCAAAACTGCTGCTGCCTAACGGCGCCTGAAAGCATGTTGACACACTGCATGTGGTTACACATGAAAGGCAAGTGAATAGGAAAAGCAGTTTTGAATCCCACCCCATTCTAATTTTGGACTGGCTCTGGGCACCTACTGGAGGACTGGGCCACACCCCAGTCACTCTGTAAAATGACCCTTCAGTTCCTTCACTCTCTCTATTCTGTGGCCTCAGTTAACCCCTTCTCTGCCTTCTTAAGGGCCATAAGAGACATCAGTAAAAGAGGACTATCAAGGAATTATCAAGATCCAGAAGTAAACCTAAGTGATTGGGGTCATCCTGTAACGAGAAGATTCCCAGTCTGGAGTCAGATGATCCCCACTAGTATCTACCATCCCCAAGCATGTGATCTGAAGCCTTCAACAGCCAGGTTCATAAATGCAAAAGAGAGCAGTTTCTGTAAGTGTGAGGCTTCAAGACCCCAAACCACCTTGCATCAGAATCACCTGGAATGCTTGTTTAAAATGTGGATTCTTATGCTCGTCTGCCAGAGATTACAACTTACTAGGGGTGGACTGATGCCCAGGAATCTGCCTTTCAAATCAGCATGTCAGGTAATTTTATGCACACCAAAAAATTTAAAAAACAATGCTCTTAAAGCAATGTTTTACAAACTGTGGGATTCAACCCATTAGTGAGGTTTAAAAAAATCAACTTATAGGTCACCAACTAGCATTTCTCAAAAAATTAAGTAGGCAACAGTAGAAGAGAATAACAGAAAAAAGTAGCCTGGATGCAGTGCCTCACACTTGCATTCCCAGCACTTTGGGAGGCTGAGGCAGGCAGATCACTTGAGGTCAGGAGTTTGAGACCAGCTTGGGCAACACAGTAAAACCTTGTCTCTACCAAAAATACAAAAAACTAGCTGGGCATGGTGGTGTGCACCTGTGGTCCTAGCTACTCGGGAGGCTGAGGTGGGAGGATCACTTGAGCTCAGGAGGCAGAGGTTGCAGTGAGCCAAGATGGCGCCATTACACTCCAGCCCGGGTGAAAGAGTGAGACCCCATCTCAACAAAAAAAAAGAATAACAGAACAAAGTAGAAAATCTCAGAGTACATCACACAAAGCAAAGATAAGTATTGTTCTGTGAAAGTATTGTTCTCAGCTATTTATGTGTATATAAGTATATTCCAGCTTGTAGTATAAAATATAGAGATTCATGATCAAAATGTTTTAAAGTCACTGCTCCAGAGTAATGGTCTTAAATTATGGGAGATAATTACGTATTCCAGATCCCTTTGAGAATCGTTTTTTTCTTTTTTTCTTTCAGTTACCATCCATAGGACTCTGCTTGATACTTTTTGAGAATCTGAGGATTCTCTTCTAAAGAAGAGAAGGAGGGAGGGAGGGAGGGAGGGAAGCGGGGAAACATTATAATTTGCATAGATAAATCCAGCATGTACCTGAACTTCTAGAAGCCTATCCCTCAAGGGCTTCTCTTGAAGACAGTTCCTACAATGTCTGTTCACAGTGGGCACCCAATAACCACTGTACCATGCCAACAGCTTTCTCCCCATGCTCTGTAAATGACCCCAGTGTCTTCCTTACATACCTGTAAGATAAGTGGTCCAACTACGATGATTGTTTTCCTCTTATTTTTAGGGTGACTAGGAATGCCAAAGCTAAACAATGTCCTACAGAACACTGGGAGAAAGCAGTTGGCATATTCCCAGAATGAGGATTCTGAAAGCAATGGTGTGGGTCCAATGTCACTGCTTTCCAAGGAACACGCTCCCTGTCTACAGGGAGTGTCTACTCACTCCCGACAAGGGCAGACAATGGCACTGGCACAATTGTGCACCCCCCAGTGATAAAGTCAATAGAAGAATATCTACTTTATTTGCAAGCTGGTGAATTATTTGACCTACAAATGTACCCACAGACACAGAGGCCCCAGCCTTACCTTCTCTATATGAAAAGGACATAAGGACATAAGGTCCCTAGTCCTAGATGGAAGATTTTAAAAGGGTATAAACGTCTAGAAAAACAACCAACAGCCCTAGCTTGATTATCAACACAGTCCCATCCTGATGGTTAAACCTATCAGTACATAGAAAGAGTAAAAATGAGAATAAAGGTTTTAAAAACCAGCCTTTGCTAAGTGAGGAATATGAAGAAGAGATGGAAAGTGGCAAGGTATAATGGGGGGACAGGGACGGTGAAGAGAAATGGAAGAGTTGGGGAGGAAGGACCATTGAGAAGATAGAGAATCAAACCCCAAAACTATTCTAAAATTTCCTGATGCTTTTCAGTAATTTGTTTTCATGCAGTGGAAATTGGCACAGCATCTAGGATACTTTGGGCCCATCTGTTTTTGAACTTAAGCTGTACACAAGATTCAGAACAGCTGGAATCAGCAGCACTGACCAGGTTATATGTGTCTGGAGGAAAGAGAAATAAAATGAGTGTGTGGGAGATGGAGGAAGAGGGTTAAATGGGGCAGAGGAAGGGGATTCTGGAAGCCATTCCCAGACAGACAGGAGAAAATGGCCAGGTCATCAGAATTGATGCAAAAGAGCTATTAGAGAGGCCAAAGCATGTAACTGAAGAAAGTCCAGGAGGAGAAATTTCAAGGATTTCAGAACAGGGCACTAGCAAACAGTCTCGCAAAAGGACGTAAAAGTTTGCAAGTTTGGGTGTCAATGTGCAGTGCCCCGGGGCTTCATGTCTGAAAGGCCAGATCAACATTATCCTAAGGTCTTACATCAAGCATATTACATGAGCTGCTGGTAAACAGTACAGACAATCATGGCCTACAGCTGAGCAGATGCTGATGCTGATGCTGATGCTGATGCTGATGCTGGATTCTTGGTTCGCTAAATGCAAAAGAGGTGATCAGGGAGAATGGCAAGGAGAACCTAGGAGCAGGCTTAGGAGAAACTGGCAAGGGTCTCAATCCATAAGATGGCTTGCTTAGAGACAGGGCTGGCCCAGAAGTAGGGGAAAATGGTTGGTTTGTTCTCAGTGCATGTCTGGCCTATGTCCCCATCACTGACTTCTGCTAAAGCCCTGACTTAATCTATGGATACATGGGTCTCTCACTTCTCCTGAATCTGCTCCATCTTTTTTAGTCAAGAGAAAAGGTTTGGCAGTGAGAAATGTCAAGACCCCATTCCGGAGAGGAAAACATTAAATACAAACAAATAAATAAACCAAATTATATTTCAAACAAATAATATAACTACATTGAAGGTCTGGAGGTTGAGGGATGCTATGGTTTGAATCTGGTTTGTTCCCTCCAAAACTCATGTTGAAATTTGATTGCAATTGCAAGTGGTATTGAGAGGCTGGGCCACTGGGGGTTGTCTGGGTCATGGGAAGAATCCTTCATGAATAAGATTAATATTCTCATGGAAATGAATTCTCACTCTTGTGGGACTGGATTAGTTCCTGAGAGAGTGAGTTGTTGTAAAGCAAGCTTCTTCCTAGTGTTTGCTTTCTTTTCACTCATTCCCTAGCCTTTCAGCTTCTCCACCATGTTGTCAGGCAGCACATGGCCCCCACCAAGAGCTGAGCAGATGCTGATGCCACATTCTTATACTCTCAAGCCACCACAGTCGTGAGCCAAATAAGCTTCTTTTCTTTATAAATTACCTGGACTCAGGTATTCTGTTATGGCGACACAAAACAGACTAAGATAGGAAAGAAAGAACTAGTCAGCTAACTTTTGAACATTGTGTCTTGGCCCTCAAGGCTAATAACAAAAAGAACTCTAAACCAGTATTAAAATCTAGTCAGTAGTCTTCTTTTTCAGAGGCATGGGTTAGTAATTCTTTTTTTTTTTTTTTTTTTGATATGGAGTCTCGGTCTGTCACCCAGGCTGGAGTGCAGTGGCACGATCTCGGCTCACTGCAAGCTCCACCTCCCGGGTTCACCCCATTCTCCTGCCTCAGCCTCCCCAGTAGCTGGGACCACAGGCGCCTGCCACCACGCCCGGCTAATTTTTTTTTTTTGTATTTTTTAGTAGAGACAGGGTTTCACCGTGTTAGCCAGGATGGTCTTGATCTCCTGACCTCATGATCGGCCCGCCTCGGCCTCCCAAAGTACTGGGATTACAGGTGTGAGCCATCGCGCCCGGCCTGGGTTAGTAATTCTGAAACAACTTTCTGTACACTCTAGGACTGAGCAATTAAGTGAAAATGTGTGTTATGGATAATAGGAACCAGGTTTCTCACTGTTCAGAGAACAGGAAAGGGGAGAAAATTAAATAAAACATGTGGTATTGGATTGGAATGAAAGATACTGATATGATCTCATAGGCTTTAATATATATAAATATACAGACAGATAAAGAAATAGCTATTTATAGAAGTACATGGGTGTGTGTGTGTATGTGTCTATGTGTACATACATATATCTACTACCTCTGTCTGCTGAAAGGGACTATAAATAATGGTACTTCAGTTACAAAGAGCATATTTAGCATCCATGGTTTCTAAATACCATTTCCCACTAAAAGCAACCGAGGCTCTCTGAAAAAATGGTCAACTCCACAGTAAAGGCAAGGAAAGTACAAGTTAAGCCTGGAACATCTTGTTGTGCCATAAAGTAAGGAAGTGCTCAAAGAACGATGGGGACATATCAATAAGACACAGAAGCCAGCTTGAAGGGACTCCATTGGCCAAATATAGAACAATATGAACATTAAAATAAAGATGGTAAAGGATTATAACCTGTTGAATAAAATAATAATCCACAAGTCCACACTGATATAAACCAACAACCAGACCAAAAAGTGGGGGTGATGGAAAAGCTCTTCCTTACAGTAGAATTGCAACTGATAAATGTAGAAGGAATGATGAAAACTGGAAAAATGACTATTTGGTAACCATCATAATAGAAAGTGATTCAAGCAAGAAATTATAATGGATGCTAAAACTAGTGAGTATAAGAGTTGAAGGGTAAGCTGATATTTACATGGTCTCAAAGTATCTCTCCACAATATATACATTAATTACAAAGCTTATAGAACAACTTCATGGTGGAGAAACCTAGCAGACACAACTGTAACCAAATGATCAAATTTAACATCATCAGTTATGGCACAAATCATCAGCAAGTGCTTCCTGATATGATGCACTGAGAAGAACGTGACATTACATTTTATGGTATTCCTGCCAAAAGTGTGTGACTTGAATCTAATAATAAGGAAATTATCAGAAATTGCCAGAAATATCAAATTAAGGGACATTCTACAAAATAACGGGGCCAATGTCAATGTCTTGAAATATAAAGACTTGGAAATCATCCCACATTAAAGGAAAGTAAAGAGATAAGACAATTGAATGAATTGCATAATCTTGGACTTTCGTTTGCCAAAAAAGGCCATTTTTAGAACAACTGGTAAAATCTGAATGTCTATTGATTAGATAATAGTATTGTATCAATCTGTATGTCCTGATTTCGATGACTGCACTACGATTATGCAAAAGAACATCCTTATTTTTAGTAAATACACCCTAAAGTATGTATGGATAAAAGGTCATCATGTCTGCAATTTACTCTCAAGTGTTTCAGAAAAACAAAATATGTGTGTGAGAATTGGGTATGAAAAGGGTGAAGTATAAAGCAAATGTAGTAATATGTTAACATTTTGGGGCAATCTGGATAAAATGGTAGTATACAAAAATTCTTTGTGCTATTCCTGCAATTTTTCTGTAAGTCTAACATTATGGCAAAATTTTAAAACTGTTTACAGATTGCATTCTGGAGAAAAATGAAATCATTTCTCCCATCTCTCCTTTGGCAGTAAGTGTATATTATTTTGTGTTATCTTTTTCCCATAAACTCTCTGTCTTCCACATGACACCATGAGCTTCCTGAGGGAAAGAACAGGATCCTACACCTCTTTGTGACCCCAAACCTGCAGAGAACCTATTGGTCATTAGCGATGAGAATGAAGTCAAGTGTTTATTACTGATTCACATATAATAAAGGTGACTAACAGGGTGACTCATAACCCAACAATTCTGTCTCCTCAACCTGGAAGTCTACGCCTTATCAGAGCACATACAAATGTATATAAACAAACTTAAAATATTTCACATTAAGTAATAACTCCCATGGGCTAGAATGGTAGCTTATTCTTCTATGTATATTTAATTCCTTGTACAACTCTTGGCACAGAATAAATGTTCAATAAATGTTTGCTGAAAGATTAAGTGAACCTCACATACCAGGATTGGTGTTCACCAAATTCGTACAAATGGACAAAACAGCCAGAAGTGGACTTCTTTTCCAGAAGGAATAATAGTACAAAGATGGGCCGGGCGCAGTGGCTCACGCCTGTAATCCCAGCAGTTTGGGAGGTCGAGGTGGGCAGATCACCTGAGGTCAGGAGTTCGAGACCAGCCTGGCCAACGTGGAAAAACCCCATCTCTACTAAAAATATAAAAAGTAGCCAGGCATGGTGGTGCGCACCTGTAATCCCAGGTACTTGGGAGGCTGAGGCACGAGAATCGCTTGAACCTGGGAGGCAGAGGTTGCAGTGAGCCGAAATGGCATCATTGCACCCCAGCCTGGGCAACAGAGTGAGAGACTCCATCGCAAAAAACAAAAAACAACAACAACAAAAAATTGTACAAAGATGTTCTTAGCTTCCAAAAGAATAAGCGATTTTATCAAAGATTTTCAAGCCAGTTGTTTTTTGCTAGAGTGGCTCAAAAACATTCCCAGATCTGGTAAATCGCTTTTTTTCATCTGATGTACGATAAGAACCTTTCTAAAGTCTTCGTCAATTTGGTGCCAAGGAAGCCTACCAAAGATGTATTATATTTTTTCTATTATGGCTTCCCTGAACTATGCTGTAAAGTAGAAGGTTTCCTAAGCACTTATCATCTGGCTGGAAACTCGGTATGTGTGCTTGGGGACTAGGGGATGGGGATCAAGAAGAGGCAGCACTGAAGTCTTCATAAGCCATATTCTCATCACTCACCTCTGTTTTTTGTTGTTGTTTTTTTTTGAGACGGAGTCTCGCTCTGTCACCCAGGCTGGAGTGCAGTGGCGCGATCTCGGCTCACTGAAAGCTCCGCCTCCTGGGTTCACACCATTCTCCTGCCTCAGCCTCCTGAGTAGGTGGGACGACAGGCACCCGCCACCACACCCGGATAATTTTTTGTATTTTTAGTAGAGATGGGGTTTCGCCGTATTAGCCAGGATGGTCTCGATCTCCTGACCTCGTGATCCGCCCGCCTCGGCCTCCCAAAGTGCTGGGATTACAGGCGTGAGCCACCGCACCCGGCACCTCTGTTTAATGAAGTAATGAACATCTAGCAAAACCAACACTGAGAAAGTATCAGGTTAAAATCCAAGACAAAGCCCATAACAATAACCCATTAATCAGTATATCATAAAAACCTGAGTTGCGTCCTTCAGAGGGCACTAAGGGAAGTGCACCTGTGTGCTCTTCCTGTGTGTTTTTCCTCCTATGTGATATGGTTTGGATGTCTGTCCCCCCCCAAATCTCATGTTGAAATGTGATTCCAAATGTTGGAGGTGGGGCCTGGTGGGAAGTGACTGGGTCATGGGGGTAGATCCTTCATGAATGGTTTAGCACCATCTCTGTGGTGATAAGTGAGTTCATGCTCACTTAGTTCACAAGAGATCTGGTTGTTCAAAAGTCTGGGACCTCCCCCGACTCTCACTCCCACTCTCACCATGTGACATGCTGGCTCCCCGGTGCCTTCTGCCATGATTGTAAGCTTCCTGAGGCCTCACCAGAAGCAGACACCAGCACCATGCCTCCTGTACAGCCTGCAGAACCATGAGCCAATCAAACCTTTTTTCTTTAGAAATTACCCAGCCTCAGGTATTTATTTACAGCATCGCAAAAAATGGCCTAATACACTGTGTATTTGTATGCACATGTATCTAGGACTCTGTGGTAAGAAAGGACACACATTTCCACGCATTACCGGAGAAAACAGGAGCAAGAACAAGACTGACAAATCCAGTCAATGTATAAAAAGGAGTGAGAGAGGAGAAGGAGGGGAGGAAGTCAATACACCTAAGAAGCCAACCCTTTCTTAACTGTGCCTGCCTTCCTGGGTTCACCTTGCTCTGTTTTAGAGTCCACACAATAGCCTGTGCTTTGTCTTCAAGGAAATCCATGAGGCATCATTTCTACCTGTACACTGCAGAAATCAATTCTGTATAACTTCCTCCTTTTGCTAAATCCCTGAGATGCTGCCTATAAATTCAAAGAATTTCAAGCATCAACAATAACCCCTACCCCCACCCTAGAACTTAGTTATGAACATCTGTTGTTTACAAGGGTTCGGGCTGAGAGCTGCCAGACTTGTTCTGCAACCTCTACTTTACCACAGAGGCTGCCAGGGAGGGATGTCTGAATTTCATGCAAGGATGCCCTGTCCCGACTGCTTAAGCAGGAATCAGCAAACACAGCTCAGCATCCTACTGTTGAAGATAATCCTAGTTTGTTCGATTCATTTTCTAATCCTGGCTCTTTAAACAGCTGCACCCTAAATATATTAAGACGCAGAACTGTGCTCATTGATTCTCCCTGAATTTAAAACCCAAGGAGCAACGACAGTGGAGATGTATAAAAGGAGGAGCTAGCAGAAAAGATGAACCTATTTCAACTCTGAAAAACCCAAATCCTACTTTTTTTTTCATTCTCTCTAAATCTTTCGTTAACAGTGAGTCCTTCCCATGTCACACTGTTTCTTTTCAACGTGTGATACTTCTGTGCAGTGTAGGAATTAGATATTAAAGTCTTTACTTCAATTAACCAGGGAACAAATCTAATTGAGAACATAACTATACTATCTTTTACCTTTCCCTGACTGAACCAAGTACAAGTCCCTCCTGAGTACTCCACCTTTCTTCTTTTCCTGGTGACTACTGGAACCTGCTTTAAATGGGGTGCTATTTTTAAATTCCTGTGCACATGTGTTCTTATTATTCTCTCTCAGCCTGCCCGATTTCCCCCATTTCAATTATAAAAACACGTATGGCAGAGACTGTCTTTTCTTCTTATCTTGTAAACCCTCCCACTTAACACAGTCAGCTCCCAATAAGATGACACAGCTTTTGCCTTGAAAAGAGAACTGGATCAAAGTAAATTCATTTAATTGGCTGCGAATTCCTGAGAATTAAAAATCCCAAGAACACATTGCCTAGTAGTAGTTAGACACATTGCTTCCTGTGTCTGCTACAGAATTATTATGGGGCTTACAGGAGCAGAGAAAAGGAAAACTAAAAGCTCCCCGCACACTAGCACTGTTGTCAAGGAACGTGATCACTACTGTCTTTGCTCCATGGAGCTGAACGCCTGAGGTATGGCCTGCTGACATTCCAGTGGCAAATCCTAGGAGACACAGGAAACTCTCAGGAGTCTCCAACATCCTCCCAATTGCTCATAAAAGCATATTTTGCTTCTAACCTGCCCTCTTATCATTCCCTACCCTAAAAGGAAGATATAAAGCCATTTATGCAGAAGCTTGGGAGCTTCTGTTTGGCCTCATGAGACAAACAACCCAGTAAACCACATACTGTTATGTTCATGACTAAGGTTTGTACTGCACTGGCCTGCTGGCCTCGATGGTAGATACTGCAGGAGGCTGAATAGGACTGGCCTTCTTTTATTTGCCCAAGTCAAAATTGGGACCTGTGGGCCTCAACAGTATATCTTTATAGAAACTCAGCAATTTGGCAATAGGGCTAACTATTAACTCCAAGAGGACGAGAAAATCAGAGAGTGGTTGTATGACAAATGTCTTCCTCTTCATGATTATGAGCCTGGATCTAAAAGTAACCCACCAAGGTTGAACTATATGACACCTTACAGAACAAAACATACAATTGCTGAGTTTTTATAGGGACTGACCATGCAATTACACAGAGTCACATAATTGCCTATGTCCTGCCCAATGTAGCTATACCATAAAAATCAGGGTAGGGGATGAATTTGTCATTCATGAGGGCCCACAGGGGTCTGAAGAAAATGGAAACTGACATATTACCCAGCCAGGCTTAGGAATACTTAACTCTGCACAAGGAATGACTAGTGTATCTAATATACCAGTGTTTTACCCAGTACAGCTGTGCTCAGGCCCAAATCCTAAGGATAGGGATAATAGTTGCTACTATTTACATTTACTATGTGCCAAGCTGTCCTAAGTGTTTCACATATTATTAATTCACTTAACCAGCATAACAACTCCATAAGGTAGTTATGAATATTATCTTCATTTTGCAAACGAGGATACTGAGGTGATTAAAACCTTTCATCTAAAATCACACAGCAAGTAAGTGGGAGAAATCCAGGATTGTGAACCCAGGAAATCTGGTTCCCAGAACTTGTGATCTTAACTATCAGGGCTGACTCTTCTGTGGCTGATCTTAACTATCAGGATTGACTTTTCCTGATAATTATATCAGCTACCATTTATTGAGCATCCATTAAGTCACAAACATTAGCTAGTGCTGTATATACATTATATATATCCTTAGAAGAATCCTTCAAGGTAAGTATTACTGTCAACATTTCACAGGTAAGAAATTGAGGCTAACAGGGGTTAAGTGACTTGCTTAAGGTCACAAGCTAGGAGTAGAAGAGACAAGATTCAGACCCAAGTTTTTCTGGCTCAAAGCTCTGGTTTTTCCCACACAAAGTCACAAAGCTTCCCAAAGAACTTTTAACTGAATTCTTTCTCTCTTCCAAAGACTGGATCACCCTGTCTTGCTGATTCCCAAATGGCCTTCTTGCATCTCTTCCATTCTGCTTTACCCATGTGTGAGAAGTCCTCCCAACTCTTCCTCCAAAAAGGACTCAACAATGACCTAAGGTTCTACATGAACTGGGCCCATGCAAAACACACCAAAGAACCTTCTGTTAATTTCTGAACAAAGGCATCTTGAGCCATGGAGAAGGGAAGCCAACCCTTGCAACACCAGATGCTACATCTGGGCAAAATCTTTCCTGAGGGAACAAACAGCTCCCAAATATGTCCAAAATGAGTGAGTGACGCACTGGTCCCAGGAAGTCAGGGGTTCTCCCTCCCGGGAGCTTCATGTTTCCTGGTACTTTCCTTCTCAAGGTCACTCCATAAGTCAATGAGGAACCTTCTGGTCTTCCACCCTTTTCCGATTTGCAACCACAACTATAACATTTTCCATGGCCAGCTGACTCTATGCTTTTCAACCCAATGCTATCCTGTGAGACTGGTGAATGACTTTGAACTCAACTCCAGGGGAGGAACCCATCCGCAGTAGTGATGTAACTACAGAGATGGCGCACATTCAAATACTGGGCCTGAAGCCGAGAACACAGACTCTACAATAATTTTTCTTTAATTAATTGTGTAACTAACCTCCCACTGAAAGGAGTATTGCAGGTTGAATGTCTACCAAATTCTTAAGATACCTAGGCCCTGCTCCCTCACATCACTTCCAATAGTGACACAACTGATAACCAGCCAAACAAGAAAGTTTACTTTCTATGTCTACCTCCTTGATATTCTGCTAATTTAATATTAGTGAAAATAGGAGATTGTCTTATTCTTCTCTATCTCCAGTACTAAACCCAATTCCTGATACATAATTAGGTTCCCAAAATGTATACTCAATGATACACAAATAAATATATCATTTAAATTCCTTTATACACTCTGTAATCTGAGTATCACAGATGATACAAAGGAAGTTTCCCCTTTGTTCTTCTAAACCCTTACTATTGGAAATCACAAATATTTCCACAGTTTCAACCATCCCCTCTGTGCACGTGTGCAAATCTCTACCAACAGCCAAAAAATCTCTTTAGCCCTGCATACAGCCATTCATTTTGTCAACTACTAGAAATTTCAGCTTCAATACTCTTCCAACACCTTAAACTTAAAATCCAAAACCAAATTTCTCATATTTTACTCCTTCAAAAACAATTCTTTCTCCTAACTTCTGTTAAAAAACACTAGATTTCAGCTGGGCACAGAGGCTTATGCCTGTAATCCCAGCACTTTGGGAGGCCAAGGTGTGCGGATCACCTGAGGTCAGGAGTTCAAGACCAACCTGACCAACATGGAGAAGCCCTGTCTCTACTAAAAATACAAAATTAGCCTGGCGTCGTGGCGCATGCCTATAATCCCAGCTACTCAGGAGGCTGAGGCAGGAGAATAGCTTGAACCTGGGAGGCAGAGGATGCAGTGAGCTGAGATCGTGCCATTGCACTCCAGCCTGGGCAACAAGAGCGAAACTCCATCTAAAAAAAAACCCAAACAACAACAACAACAACAACAAAAAAAAAAAAACAAAAAAAACAAAAAAGCCCCTCTCTATTTCTTTTAAAGATACCATTAATTTATCAATCACCCAAGTCAAAAAGACACTTTACAGACCTCTTTCTTTTATGGCTTCCAAGCTCACTTGAAACCTGAATCCCATCAGTCAGCAATTCCTGTAGATTCTTCCTGTACCAGGTGCTTTCCACCTGTCTCTAGACTGTAAGCTCTAGGAGTACAGGGGTGGGTATCTGGCATGTGTCTGGCACATGGTAAGAAGATATATATTTGCTAAATGGACAGAAGGATAAATTCCCCTTCTTTTCATTCCTACCATCCCAACCTAATTTAGATCCTTATGATCTACTGCAGCAACTGGTTTCCTTGGTCTCATGTTTCTTGTCATTTAGCAAACTACCACTAGGTTAATCTTCCTTAATCAGAGTTCATACCTATTTAAACCATCAGTGGTTTCCAGTGTCTATTGCATAGAGCCAAATCCCTAATCAAGAGTCAAGGCCCTCCACAATACAAACCCATCTACCTTTGTCCACTTCTTCCACATCCACTTATTCTCCCAGCTAAACCAGTCTACTCACTGTACCTCAAAAGTGCTTTGTTCTTTCTTCTAGCTGTGCCCCTTTTTCCTAGAGTATCTTCCCCTCCCTCTCAAGAGCCATTTTCTTTAAAGCTTTGTTCAAATCTCATTTCCTTACTGAAGTTTCCTGTCTACATCAACTGAGCCTCATCTCTTCTGCAGCATATACTTAGTACTTACTACATATAGCCTTATGTTGAAGATTTGTATTCTTGTATTTGAATTTAATTTCTCCCTGACTAGATTATAATTTCATATGGGAAAGAACTACTCCTTTTATTTCTTTGGATCTCTGTCCTCTAAGAGTTTAGAACAAAACCTCTAAAATAGTCAACAAATATGTGTTGAGGAGAGAAAGAAGCTGGGAGAAACGCTGAAAAGATACTGACAGTGGGTTATAAAATAGCAGAAGGTCTCTGCAAGGAACACAGCAGGACAGAAATGTAGAAGTATTGCTCTAAAAACTCAACAGAAAAAAAAAAGCTACCTAAAAAAATGAGCTATTAAAAGCAGGAGATCAAAACCAAGTGAGCTATGACCGAAAGGTAATTTACAGCAAGTCTATTTAAAAAAAAAAACAAACAAACAGCCAATGCATTATCAATTAGAGTCCTGCTGGGCCATATTAACACAGATTCCACTTAAAAGAGACAATCAAAGGCTCAGCAACAAATAGGAATACATTTATGCTCTTCAAGGAGCCAAAGAAAATGCAAGAACATCTTCCCTAGAAAGGCTTCCTACCCTCGCATAATACTTTACCACTGCTCTTGATCAAACCAGGCTGACAGAATTTCAGACATTAGCAGGGTCTTCCCACAATTCACAGGGATGGGGGAAGCCATGTTACCTGTCTTAAACAAAGCAGAATAACATAGGGTCAAATAATCGCTACAGTTCTATCTGCAGCATCTCTCATTCTCTGGGGGAAGGAGAAAGAAGGAGAGGGATGGAACCAGAGGGTCAGGCTGCCATGGAGTCAGAACTGTACAGGCTTTAATGAGGATGTCTGCACTGAGCGCAATGTGGGAGAGGACAAAAGGTGAGCAGGAGCAGAGCAGAGTAGGAAGCAAAGCCAAAGGCTGACAGCGTAATGGCTTCCAGGGGAGGAGGTGTCCAAAAGATGAAGAACGCAGTTCAGCAGCGTCCATCCCTAAATGCAATCACTTAGAACTGTAAGAAAATACCCAACCTAACGCAGTATGAGTGGCTGAAACCCAGCCAGGGTAAGAAAGTGGCCTGGAAAAGGGTGAGATGAATCCATGTGGACTGAATTCAGCCCTGGCCAACCTGCTGCATCCCAAGTTGAATAGTTTCCACGTCCCTGAGATGGGTCTGTTCAGAGTTGCTGCTGGCAGCTGCTCTCCTGGCAGTACAGGAAGACAAATTCATGGCATTGCTAGCCCAACAGCTGCTACAGCTCCGGGGGAGGTGATGAGTGCCCGCTGAGATGTTCTGGGCAGAGAATGAACTATTCTGGGACCAGTCCTAGAGTCAGCAAAATCAAGGCTACAGTTCACCAACTGAATGAAAATACAGTACTATTGTCACTCCAGAGACCCAGGAAACCAAGAGCACTTTCTCTGTCCCAGCTTCTTTGAATTCCATTGATTCTTGTCCTCACACTTGGCCCCATCTTGTCTATTTCCAAGGGTATGACCTCAGTTTCAGCCCACATTAACCTCACCACTGGACTCCTTTCTTAACAGGTCCTCCTCCTTCCAGTCTCTCTGCTCCAATTGATCATATGCATCGTTGCCATAGTTACCCTTCGAAAGCACAGCCATAATTATGTTCCTTGCTCAAAAACTATCAATGGTCCCCCATGCTTACAGAATAAAGCCCGAACCCTGTCGCCTGGCATTCATAGACCTCTTTAATCTTCTGGCCCCTATCTTTTCCAGGTTTATTTCACTATCACATTTATAATTCCTGTTCTTCAGCAAAACAGATAAGTTATCCATCAGCCTTTGTTCTCACTTCTGTTAGCCTTTTCTAATACTGCTCTATCTAAAATGCTTCCTTTCCCATCTTTTCACCTTCTTTCTACAACTTCTCCATTGTCTCAACTGTATTAAGCTTAAAGGATCAATGCCTAGCACTGGCATTTTAATTTTTTTATCTCCCATCCATTGAACTTGACCTCCCTAAAGCCCTATCCAGTCCTCCAATCAGAAGAAATCTCTCTTCTTTGTGCACCTGTGGCACTCTGTATGGATGGGTGGCCATGGTCTTTCCTACACTTGTCCTTTCATACACCATGGCAGATGCTGCTGATTGTCCCCCAATATTTCCCCTTCTTCTATATTTAGAGAAATTCTACTTTATAGTCACCCAGAACAATAACTACACTTCCCAGCCTCCCTTGCAGTTCAGCATAACCATGTGACTAAGTTCTGGCCAGTCAGATATGAGTTGAAGAGCTGTGTGTGCCACTTCCAGAGTGCACCTTTAAAAAATAAGGCCATACCTGCCCCTCGTCCTGTTGCCTTTTCCTGCTGGCTGGAATGAGAACATGGTGGCAGTGAGCCATCTTGGGTCATACAGAAAAGGATAACACTCTCGGGATGGAATAAGAAGCCTGACAGCCCTGGATGGCTAACACCTAGACTATGACATCAGAGAGAAATCAACCTCTATCTTGTGTATGCCATTATTACTTGGGGTCTATTACATCAGCCAAACTTATATCTTTACCAAATCAGACATGCCTAAGATGCCTTTCCTATGCCAATGTCAAATTTTCAGTTGCCAGCAAATGTTTCAAGCTTGTCTTAGTGATGCTGACTGCCAGGTACCAATTCTGTTTCAGCAGGATGGTTGTCTCTGCACAGCAATGCTTGTGCTGTGCACACATTTTAACACTTGGTTATCTTTTGCAACACAAAAATGAGTGGAAATGGAAAAACAAAAGTGCTGTTACTAATGTTGCATTGAGAAGTAGAGGTCTCATCACTGTACTACTAAGATAAGGGCAGAACTCATCAGCTACGTGGACTCTTTAGGTATTCACTGAACTTGAGCAGGCAGGCCACGAGTTTAATTGTGGAAAAACAAACAGAACTAAAGACAAGGTATACAATGCTAAAAATATATCAGGTGAGGGATAATTTCGAATTTCACATATACACTTATTTATAATAATAGAACCTACCTACCCCACATAAAACTGTAGTTAGACATTCAACCATTTGACTTCTGTATACACTTTTAGGAATAAATTATGCATGAAAGTAGGATGTTGCCTGAGCCTCTCTTATTGAGTTTCTCACCACCTTGCCTGTATTAAATGCATTTGTACATATGTTCTATCTCCTCTTCTACCAGGCTGTACCATATGAAATTGCCATTTTGCCTTACAAAAAAACCCAGCAATTTCATATGTTTCACCCTAAGAGATTGAAAACATCTGGGTTTGGGGCTTGTTTTAGTCATCTTTGCATCTCTCACAATACCTTATACATGAGAGAGTATCAATAAGAAATTGCTCTTACAGATCTTCTACTTAAAACACTTCTAGTTCCATCAGACGCCACTTTCCCACCTTACCTTCTACCCTTTGCCTTAAAAAACAAAACTATTCTCTCTCTCTTCAGGTAGCTTTTGCTTCTCCTCATAGTAACTTTTACTACCAATGCAAAACTTTTATTGTCTAAGCCTGGGGTCCTGGATTTAGTTCTTTGTTCTCCTCTTTCTCTTCCCTGAATTCATATACTTTCATCTCTCCCACAATCACTTTTACTCCGAAGATTCTGCTAGCTATCCCCAGTCATAACCTCTTACCTCAGCAGTATGCCGTCTCCACCTGGATACCTGATGGCCTCGTACTGCTCTACACCCAAAACGTTCAAAGTAGGATCACCATTCAAAACAGATCTTCCCTCAACACCCCCACTTCTATCGTGAATGCCACAATTCTTCTAGGTCACCAGGGTAGAGACACTGGGTCACCTCTGACCATTATGGTTCTATGCTTTATCCAGTCAGTTATCCAGTCCTATTTAGTTTCTTGAATACCTTCTGAATATATTCCTACTTCCTTTCCACTCCCCCAACTTTTTTTTTTTTTTTTTGCTCTTACTTTGTGTGTAGATTACCCCAAAACCTTCATCCTGGCCTTCTGTTTTCCTCGTGTCTCTCTCCCCACCTAAGAACCCAGAGGACCCACTAAAATGCTGCCACATCCAATCTGAACTTCTCTGCTTGCTATCAAAGAGCTATCATTTGGGGTCTACTCTACTTATTTAACCTTATTTTCCACTGCTCTTGAAAATAGCTGTGTTCTCATATCTCTACTAAAGCTCTTTTCACATTATACTATTTACATAGCTCTTTTCCCTGTTAACCAGGGATTTTTTTTTTTTTTTTTTAAGACACAGGGTCTCACTCTGTCACCCAGGCTGGTGTGCAGCGGTGCAGTCATAGCTCACTGTAGGCTCCAACTCCTGGAGTGAAGCGATCTTCCCACCTCCTGAGAAGTTAGGACTACAGGCGTGCATCACCATGCTGAGCTAATTTTTTATTTTTTGTAGAGATGGGTTCTTGCTATGTTGCCTAGGCTGGTCTCAAACTCCTGGCCTCAGGAGATCCTCCTATCTTACCCTCTCAAAGTGCTGGGGTTACAGGCATAAGTCACCATGCTCCGCTTAAACAGGAATTCCTAAGTTTATGTTAGTTCCTATAGGAATCAACACAGAGCACAGTACTCAGTAGGTATTTAAAAGTAATTTGTTGAATAAGTAGACTGATTGTTACCCAGAATACGATCAGGCAGGAAGCTATTGGAGTAAACCAGTTATAAAGTGGAAAAGTTGCCCTCTTCCAGGTTCTTGTGCCACCTTGTATTAAATACTTTCCTTCCACAACACTTACCCCAACTTTAAATTACATATCTAATTGTGTGATTTGTTAAATGCCCATTTCTTCATCTAAGTGCTAAGTGCTAAGTGTAGCAGTTTGTTCCCTGCTACACTCCAAGGCACAAAGGAGTTCAAGGAATGTGCAATGGAAATCAGTTAGATGAATGTGTTAGGAACCTTCCCTTTAATAAAGCTGGATCCCACACTAGCCCCTACACCCTCTCATCACCAAATATTCCTGCTTCCTCTCACCTGCACTTGCTGTTCTCTCCTCTGCCACACAAATCTACCTCTCAAGCCTAGGTCCCACCTGCTTCATGACAACTTTCCAGACTATTCCAGAACCTTTAACCATCTCTGACCTCTCATCAGATCTATGTTGTACATAACACCAATTAATGAGATCATTACTGCTTTATGCTCTAATTGCTTCCTGTATTCAAAATCTTCTCTCCAACCACATAATGACTCCCTAAACTTCTCTTGTATTTT
This sequence comes from Homo sapiens, assembly GCF_000001405.40. Lineage (NCBI taxonomy): Eukaryota > Metazoa > Chordata > Mammalia > Primates > Hominidae > Homo > Homo sapiens. The sequence continues at coordinate 206,308,186 of NC_000001.11, read as the reverse complement.
CCAATGCCTTGTACAAGCACAGAACTGGTCAATCAATAAATACTCACTGGTTATTTGAGGAAAAAATGTTGCCAAGCACCATCTTTATCAGAAAATAAATCAATTCTTCTAAACTTGGAGAAATCACCCTATTCCTAGTATGTGATCTTAATTAGAACAATTCAGATTGAGAGGTGACAGCATGCTGGCAGTCCTCAGAGCCCTCGCTTGCTCTCGGCACCTCCCCTGCCTGGGCTCCCACTTTAATGGAATTCGAGGAGCCCTTCAGCACCCCCCCCTGCACTGTGGGAGCCCCTTTCTGGGCTGGCCAAGGCTGGAGCCCACTCCCTCAGCTTGCAGGGAGGTGTGGAGGGAGAGGCACGAGCGGGAACCGGGGCTGCGTGCGGCGCTTGCGGGCCAGCTGGAGTTCCGGGTGGGCGTGGGCTTGGTGGGCCCCGCACTCGGAGCAGCCGGCCAGCCCTGCTGGCCCCGGGCAATGGGGGACTTAGCACCCGGGCCAGTGGCTGCGGAGGGTGTACTGAGTCCCCCAGCAGTGCCGGCCCATCGGCGCTGTGCTCGATTTCTCACTGGGCCTTAGCTGCCTTCCCGCGGGGCAGGGCTCGGGACCTGCAGCCCGCCATGTCTGAGCCTCCCACCCACTCCATGGGCTCCTGTGCGGCCGGAGCCTCCCCGACGAGCACCACCCCCTGCTCCATGGCGCCCAGTCCCATCGACCACCCAAGGGCTGAGGAATGCGAGCGCACAGCGCAGGACTGGCAGGCAGCTCCACCTGCAGCCCCGGTGCGGGATCCACTAGATGAAGCCAACTGGGCTCCTGAGTCTGGTGGGGACATGGAGAGTCTTTATATGTAGCTCAGGGATTGTAAATACACCAATCAGCACCCTGTGTTTAGCTCAAGGTTTGTGAGTGCACCAATCGACACTCTGTATCTAGCTGCTCTAGTGAGGACGTGGAGAACCTTTATGTCTAGCTCAAGGATTGTAAATACACCAATCGGCACTCTATATCTAGCTCAAGGTTTGTAAACACACCAATCAGCACCCTGTGTTTAGCTCAAGGTTTGTAAGTGCACCAATCGACACTCTGTATCTAGCTGCTCTGGTGAGGACATGGAGAACCTTTATGTCTAGCTCAAGGACTGTAAATACACCAATCGGCACTCTGAATCTAGCTCAAGGTTTGTAAATACACCAATCAGCACCCTGTGTTTAGCTCAAGATTTGTGAGTGCACCAATCGACACTCTGTATCTAGCTGCTCTGGTGAGGATGTGGAGAACCTTTATGTCTAGCTCAGAGATTGTAAATACACCAATCGGCACTCTGTATCTAGCTCAAGGTTTGTAAACACACCAATCAGCACCCTGTGTTTAACTCAAGGTTTGTGAATGCACCAATCGACACTCTGTATCTAGCTGCTCTGGTGGGGCCTTAGAGAACCTGTGTGTCAAAACTCTGTATCTAACTAATCTGATGGGGAGGTGGAGAACCTTTGTATCTATCTCAGAGATTGTAAATGCACCAATCAGTACCCTGACAAAACAGGCCACTCGGCTCTACCAATCAGCAGGATGTGGGTGGGGCCAGATAAGAGACTAAAAGCAGGCTGCCCGAGCCAACATTGGCAACCCGCTCGGGTCCCCTTCCACACGGTGGAAGGTTTGTTCTTTTGCTTTTTGCAATAAATCTTGCTAGTGCTCACTTTTTGGGTCCACGCTGCTTTTATGAGCTGTAACACTCACCGCAAAGATCTGCAGCTTCACTCCTGAGCCCAGCGAGGCCACAAGCCCACCGGGAGGAACGAACAACTCCAGACGCGCTGCCTTAAGAGCTGTAACACTCACCGTGAAGGTCTGCAGCTTCACTCCTGAGCCAGCGAGACCACGAACCCACCAGAAGGAAGAAACTCCGAACACATCTGAACATCAGAAGGGACAGACTCCAGACACACCACCTTAAGAGCTGTAACACTCACCGCAAGGGTCCGCAGCCTCATTCTTGAAGTCAGTGAGACCAAGAACCCACCAATTCCGGACACAAGATGACTTGGAGATTAACACATCTGAACCTTAATTTGTAACAAATACGTCCATAAGCTGAGAATATGATATAGTACTAAAAATCAAATGCTATTTTAAATTTAGGATGAGATTACCAACAGAATAAATCCAACTTTGAATCATTTTCTAAAGCAAATGATTCCTCCCCTAAGTCTTCATTTATCACATACTAAAATAACATTTTTTTATCAGATGATTCTCTTATCATAAAGAGAATAAGACTTGGGAAAGATAAGAAACTCTGAGGAAAAAAACCTCTGGAGGAAATTTTCATTCTGGCTTATTTTGAGATGTCATGTTCTCCTCAACCTTAACCCCATCTTCATTGCACAGAGCTGGCTTTTAAAGGATAATTTGTGTCCTGTATTATTAAGGCAATAAACAAAAATAGAAAATGGGGAAAATAAGATACACTTGGCACTAATTTCAAATTCATTCATTCATTTATTTATTCCACAATATTTAGTGCGCATCTACTATACACCACATATTATACTAGGCACCGTGGGACACCAGAAGATCAAACTAACTTATACAGTCCACTCAGAGAAGATAACAGAAGGTAGATAGTGCTGAATGCCCTAAGAGAAGAACAAATAAAATGCTGTAAGAATTCAGAAGATGGAGAACTTTCTTCCTTCTGGGAGAATCAGGAAAGTTTCCTGGAACAGGGAGCACCTGAGATGGGTCTTAAGACATGGGCATGGCTTAGACATGCAAAGATGGAAAGACTGACCACATAACCTCAAGTAACAGGATGCCAGTGACCCACTGGAGTGAATGTTCTGTTTGGCTCGGGTATAGTGGAACAGAAACAAGAAATAAGGTTGGAAACCTGTTTGAGGCTTTCCAGATGTAGAGGGGCTTAAAGACCAAGCCAAAAAGCGTGCACCTTTGTGAATGGAACAGCATTTCCCAAATGTCAATGTGCACACAAATCACATGCTATGTTGTGGGATCTTGTTATAAGGACTGGAGTAGGACCTAAGATACTGCATTTCTAACAGTACAGATGATGCTGACACTGAGAAACTACAATTTGATATCAAAAACATAGATGGGCTGGGTGTGGTGGCTCACACCTGTAATTCCAGCACTTTGGAAGGATGAGGTGGGAGGATCACTTAAGGCCAGGAGTTTGAGACCAAACTGGGCAACATAGCGAAACCCTGTCTCTACAAAAATTAAAATAAAATAAAAATAGCTGGGTATGATGGTGCACACCTGCAGTCCCAGCTACTCAGGAGGTAGGCTGAGGCAGGAGGATCACTAGAGCCCAAGAGTTTGAGGCTGCAGGGAGCCAAGATCACGCTATTGTACTTCAGCCTGGGTGACAGAGCAAGACCTTATCTCTAAAAATAATAATAATCATAATAAAAAGAACATAGACAATGGAGAGACATTGAAAGTTTTGCAGAAAGAAATTCTCTGATCGCCAGTGTGTTCCAGGAAGATTAACTCCGATCACAATGGAGCAGGCAGATTGGAATGGAGAGAAACTGTAGACCAAGCTTGTCCAACCTACGGCCTGTGGGCTGCATGGGGGCCAGGATGGCTTTGAATGCAGCCCAATGGAAATTTGTAAACTTTCTTAAAATATTATGAGGTTTTTTTGCAATTTTTTTTAAGCTCATCAGCTATTGTATTAGCATATTTTATGGGTGGCCCAAGACAATTCTTCTTCTTCCAATGTGGCCCAGGGAGACCAAAAGATTGGACACCCCTGCTGTGGACTGTGATCCTCAATGCTGGCTGTTCATTAGAATCACCTGGGAAGCTTTTACACCACCCTGTTACCCAGGCCTCACTCCCAGAGATTCTCATTTAATTGGTCTGGAGTGGGGCCCAGATTTCTGTATTTTTTTTAAAGTTCTCCAGGGAATTCTAATATGCAGCCAGGGTTGAAAATCTCTGCTATAGAAGATCTAGTAAATACTGCAATCATTCAGGCAAAAAAGATGATGATCTAAACTAGGGCAATGGCACTGGGAACCAAGTGAATGGGCCAGTTGTATAAAATAAACTAAATGTAGAAGAAATAGACCTTAGCAGCTACCTAGACAGGGATTTAGATGTAATGGCCTCAACATCATTTATTTCTTCTAATTAAAGACAGTTTGGTGAAATGGTTAAAAATATAGACCCTGCAGCCAGACTGCCTGGGTTTGAATTCCAGCTCTACTATTTACTAGGGGTGTGTGAGTGTGAGTGTGTGTGTGTGTGTGTGTGTGTGTGTGTGAGAGAGAGAGAGAGAGAGACAGAGATTAAGATAGACCCTGAGTTAAGCCCCTTAACCTTTTTATGCCTCAGTTTCCTCATCTATAAATTGGGGATAATAACAATAACCATCATATGGAGTTGTTGGGATTAAGCAAACTAACATATATGTAAAGCCCTTAGTAGCATGCCTGGCAACAGAGCTATAAACAAGTTTGCTGTTATTATTAGCATGGTTCATCATCTACTCTCATCTCTACGAAATGTTGAATTGCACATAAGACTGATCTGGAAAACGAGAAGTCCTTGAGGGCTTTCAACCAATCTGAAGCCAGGGGCTCCTGAATTCAGCTGGATCTAAGTGGCATACCCTGCCCCCCTCCACCCTGGACCCCATATTCCAAGGTCTCAGAGAGTAATAGCCACAGAGCCCCTACTTGAATTGCTGGTCCTTGGTGCTGCGTGTCTTGGCCAGGAAGCGTTCTGCCAGCTTCTCCAGGTTGCGGGAGTAGTCCATCTCAATCTCTGCCTTCTTTCGGAAGAAGTCCTGGAGGTCCTGCAACAGTTGCACCCGAAGCTCACACTGCTGGTCCAGGCATTTCATCTGCTCTGTGAGCTGAGCACGGATCTCTACAACAAAAACAAGAGAAGACAGTCAGAAAGACCGCCCTAAATAAGCCACCATGCATGCCAATATTCACCCACCTTCCACTTACTTATTCCCCGTGCCCTGGGAAATTGAAAGCCCTGAACAAAAAAGCCTAAAGTCTAAACTGGCCATAGGATGTGAGGCACCTCCAAAAATGCCAACCCTTTTTACACCATTAAAGAACATTGTGAACCAGGAATCTGCTGAATCACTTATGAGAAGCTGCTTATTAAAAATAATAACATTCCTATCTACCATTTATATTACTATGTTTCTAGTGGCACAGAGCCAGAATCTGGGTTGTCTTCTGGCAGAGGGCCCAAATGAATTATCACCCCAACCATCCTATGAGGCAGGTACTACCTCATCCCCATTTTAAAAATGAGAAAACAGAGTCTTGAAGAAGTCAAACTTTTAAGTGGTGAAGCTGGGATTCAAACCCCAAGAGACTGACTTTAGAGACCATGCTCCTACTTTTTGCATTTTTCCCCATCATTTCAAAATGTTGTTTACCATCTTCATGAAGTAGGATGAAGGTCAGGATATTTTAATGGAGATAGGAAGAAAATCTCCCAAGGTCAAATGGTAGCAATCAAAACAAAACAAGCACAAGAACTTCTGGGCAGGCAAACCATTCACTGTCAATCAGATTTCACAGTTTCCAATATCACAGAATGAAAATCATTTTTTAAGAAGACTTGGAAAGAGATTTTTTTCACTAACAAATATCACTCATATCTGTGTTGCTTAATCTTCATAGATGCTGTAGTGCCTCTATAGTGTCATAGCTAGAAATACTTCTGGTTAAGCTCTAGCATGCAGATTTCTGGCTGGTCAGGGTCCTTGTATGGAGCTAGCAAACACTCTCTCTGGAACTGCTGCAAAGGCAGCTATAGATGCGAACAGATCTGCCTCAAATGCAGCACTGCATTTGTTACTGACAAGAGACCTGGCACTCACAGGAAGCAGTATGCCAAAGCCAGACTGATTTCCAGCTCAGAGAAGGCTTGCAGTGTGTATCCTGCTGAAGTTATGTCCCAATCCCCATCTGAGTCAGAATGGAGCCATTTCTTTCATCTTTTCCCTCTGCAAGCCTGCTCAGCTCCAAATGCATTAGGATGTGACAGTGACTCCAATCCCACAGAAAAGGAGCACCTATATTATGCCTTTCCTTATGTGTGCCCCAAATTCATTCCCAAATAGCACAGTTGCAACAATGCTTTCTGTCTATGCTATGTAATGCTATGTAATGCATCATTATGGGGAGAGGGGGTCTAGAGTTTTCACGTGAGCTGCAGATAAATCAGAGGCAAATCAGGATCAGAACTATGATGCTGAAATGTTCTTGAAGCAATGAGGATGGGTAAATGGTGCGTTTAGCTTTGCCTTAAAGTAGTCGAGGCTCCACAATCTGTCCCCATCTACATTTTTGTTGCTGTTTTTACAAATATCAGTATGTCCTTTGCAGATGATCTCAGGTGATCTGTAAGCGCAATTCTCACCCTCTTCATCCTCATCTCTCTCCCTGTCAACCACCAATGCCAACCAGCCCTGCAGTAACCTCACCTGAACTGAAACTGAGCTCCGGAGGATTGTTTCAAGCAGACAGAAGGCTGTGCAGAAAAGCTGCCTACCTCATCACTCATCAAAGCTCTCTTGTTCTGTGTTTTACGGAGTCTGATTACAAGGGTATTGGGGGTAAAGATCTGCAGAGGTTATGTCAGGCATCTGGTTCTTGCCAGGGATTTCTGGGTCTCTTAAAGGGAACAGCCCTTGTTGAGACTATTCCTGTAGGCATCTGTCCCCCTTCAATATATTAGTGAAAAGCTGATAGTAATAGCCATTGGGTGGGCAGACTGTACATTGAGAGGGCATTCAGAATGCTTACTAATATTACTTAAATTCCATCCGTTCAGTAAGAACCAAGTGCCAGGCGCGGTGGCTCACGCCTGTAATCCCAGCACTTTGGGAGGCCGAGGCGGGCGGATCACAAGGTCAGGAGATCGAGACCATCCTGGCTAACATGGTGAAACCCTGTCTCTACTAAAAATACAAAAAAAAAATTAGCCAGGCATGGTGGCAGGTGCCTGTGGTCCCAACTACTGGGGAGGCTGAGGCGGGAGAATGGCGTGAACCCGGGAGGCGGAGCTTGCACTGAGCAGAGATCGCACCACTGCACTCCAGCCTGGGCGACAGAGCGAGACTCCATCTCAAACAAACAACAACAAAAAAGAACCAAGGCGTTTTTAGGGTGGAAAGGCTTTCCAGGTACTGAATCAGTAACAGATGTACAGGGGATATGGATGGGCAGTAAGGCTGTCAGGTCCCTCTGAGTCCCCTGTAATGCACTCAAGAATTTACCTCAGTAATCTCACTCACCAGGGGAATAGAAAGGAATAGTTAGTTGGATGACACCCACCCTCTGCCAAAAAAAGAGAGGACAAGGCAAAGTCCCATGAAGTTCCAGAAGTAGGCCACTCCAGAGTTAGCCTGTCCAAGGAACAAGTACTTAATAGGAGGCCTCTGAGATATGTGATTTAATATAAGAAACCCCCAAGCACATCCAGCCAGCAAGGAATTCCAGCCTGATTTTGCAGGTGCCTCAATGAGGGCAGCAGAGTATATGCTGCATCACAGGTACTCCCTCTGGAACCCTGAAGGGATGGGAGCATGTGTTTATTGAATACATTTTATAGGCCTTTCTATGTATCATCTCATTTAATTCTCACAGGTAGTCTGTAAGGTATCCACAATTATCCTGATTACACTAAGGAGAAAACTGAAGTAAGACTCTTTAAGTAATTTACCAAAGGGTCAACAATTATGCAACAGGAGCTGGAGCTAAATTAAGGTTTGTCTGACTTGTCAAAGAGGTTAATAGTAGGTCAGAGAAACAAAAACAAGAGAAATAGAACACCAGTTTGGAGTCTCTGAAAATATCTCTGTGTAAATCACAGTGACCATGACTCTTAACTCCTGGAACATCGCCTTTTCCACTTTCCAGCTGAGGGTTGATTCAGGCCCCTAAGACAAGTTTGGACTTGCCCACCGACTCACCAGCTAGCTCTGTTTCAATCTGTCCACAACCACACTGGATCCCTTCCCCACTTCCTAGATCTACTCTACAGGACAGCTTAGGGGGAAGTGCTTTTCTTGTCCTGTGAGTACACCCTGAGGTCTACCAGGAAGCCCAGAGGACAGAGACAGTGAGAAAGCAATATCCCCACCCCTGATCCAGGAAAAAAAAGAGGCTCTGTTAATAGATACCACCTGCTAGTGTGGTTTATTTGTGATATGACACCATGAGCATCTCCCCTCCCTCACAACTGGCCAAAAAGAAGAAGAGGAAGAGGAAGAAGAAGAAGGAGGAAAAGGAAGGAAGAACAGGAGGTGGAGAAGGAGAAGGAAAAGGAGGAGAAAAAGAAAGAAGAAAGAGAATGAAGAAGGAAGAAGGCAAAAGAAGAAAGGAAGCAGAAAGAAGAAGATGCCTCCCTTGTTACCATCTTCAAAGCATCCATACAGGCATTAAGGGAAATTCTAACTACTCTCACTCTTAGGCGTACAGCTCCAAGACAGAACAGTTGTTCTATCCAGGGAAAAATGTGCTGCCTTAGGCGCTGCTGCTGCTGCTGCTCCTACAAAGACAAACAATGGTCCCCAAGAAGGCAGCTATGCTGGCCCCAGTCCCCGTTCATGCACACAAGGGGCAGGAAACAATGGGCCACTGAATACCAGCACTCCTGGGCCATGTGCCCAGGCTGAAGGCCCCTCTGAACCCTGGCCTATCAACAAACAAAAGGGCAGAAAGAAGAAAGAGGCAATTTAAAAACATAGAGGAACTCCTCACAGTTCCCTCATGTGCTTAGGCGATCATGCATGTGCACATCATGTGTACACACTCAAAGACTCACACCACTCATACCACTTACACCATGCTTCACGATACCAACTCAAGAAGGCTTTACACATCTGGTTTACAGTTGGATGAGAATTCTTGGGAGCTATGGAGATGGTGGGGTCCTTGCCAGTTCCTTCCCTAGAAATACATGGAAAGAAGTCAAGCTCTCACTTTCTAGAAGCAGCTATATCTTAGGGGTACAAAAGAATTCCCTGGCTATTCACAAAGCCAAAGTACTAAGGTCGCCATGAGTCACCTGGAGTGATATATACATCCAAACAGCCTCCCCTGAGCGCCCAGTAGAGCCCATTTATTCAGCAAATCTTACTGAGCCTTTCCTGTATGGAGGCACTGTGCTAGGTGATGGTGACAAAGGAGGAAAAGACAGGTCTAAGCCCTGTCTAAAGAGGCATGGCTTGACAAAGAAGAGAAAGGACAAGAGAACACAAAAAGTCTTATTGTTTCTGCTTTAAATATTCTTTATTATAACAAAGCTGTGGTAATAAGCCCCAACCTGAAGATCTAAGATTTAAAAATCATCAATAGCGGAAAGAAATCACATAACAGGGCTAAGAAAAATCCAATGTCCTCTAACATTTTTTCTTATTATGTTTTTTTAAAAATGACACTTGAATAAAAATTGCAGCTTCCCTTGCAAGAGGAACCCAATTTCTTTAAAAGGTTCCTGAGAATCAGAGTTGACCTCTGGTTGATATTTCATGCAGAGATTCAAGACAAATTTAAACCTCCCTGTTTTGAAATTAAGATAGTGATGATTGTTGCTCAACCTTGTGAATATGTTTAAAAAATTGAATTGTACACTTTAAAAGAGTGAATTTTACAGTATGTGAATTGTATCTCACTGAAAAAAACAGATTAAAAAATTTAACCCCACCACATAGCATATTCTGTTGAGCACCATCTGCCAGTGAAGGGGAAAATAACCCAACAAACAGGAGCCAAAAGGAGGAACGGATTCTTGGTTTCCATTTCCCTGTGTGTATGAATTAAACACATTCTGCATTGACTATTCCTAAAGCAAATCTTGGAAGCTGCCCCTCTGGGCCGTAGGCTTGGCCATGACATTGAACTCCACTGGCAGATCACCATTTCCAAACGATGTCAGATAAAGACCTGCCAGGGAGTGTTTTTATATGTGAATTCAAATCCAGCATCACCAGACACACCCATGAAGCTTCCCCTGGGAAATGCTGCCTCCTTGCCCATGCTTGGCCACAGCTGAGACACTAACTATACTCGTCCTAGTATTTAGAAAGAGGCTTATTTCCTTTTTAGAAAGATGCTGAAGGGTCTCAATAAGCATGCAACTGGAAGAAAAACTAGCCCTAATAGGATACTGATCATTTAACAAAAACAGGCAGGGCCCTGCCACGCTGACAATCATGTAGACTCCAAATTACAACACCTGCCAATGCAGATGACACAGTCCTCTGAAAACTGCCCTCACTTCAGAGAACATCCAGGGAATTCACCAATCAGCAGAGTACAGGGGGTGAGGGAGTGGGGGTGTTCAGCCTATTGCTTTCAATCCAGAGATCCCTTTCTTTCCTCCTTTCAAAATTCATCTTCTTCTTCAGGAATTTTCTCTGATTAAGTCATGAATACCACATTTCTAAGGAGAAAATGGGGGAGGAAGGGCAGGCCAGGAGACAGATGTAATCTTTCAGGAGAGTCACACAGGCATGTCCTTCCTTTCTCCTTGATGTGCCAGCACCCAGGGGGCAGGAGCTGCATCTCCCACAGGCTCTGTTGCCAGCACGTGGAGCAGATCAGCCCGCGCTCCCCATTGGGAACCTGGTCTGACTGCCAGTCTTTTTCCACCCAATCTGCCTCACCTGCTTTTAGCCCCTTCACAAACACCTCAGCCATCTCAGGAATATTAATTCCTAGTACCTTTCCAGAGAATGTTACATAAGAATACAATTGAGGCTTTCAGGCGCTACCCTCCATATCTCTTACCAAGACTTCTTATCACAACAGTAATCAGCCCCTCTCAAAACTGTTCCTCAGGAAACAAAATACCAGAATGCCCTGCCAAGTCTTGCTCTCTACTCTGCTAGTTTGCCTTTCTATGAACTTAGTAAAGGGAGGACTCAAAAATCCTTGCTGGACAGATGTGAGAACCAAAGCTCAGAGCAGCAAAGGGGATTGACCAAGATCACACAGCTATTTAGTTGCAGATCCAAGACTGAAATCCAAGTCGCTGAGTTCCCAATGTCCTTTCCTACTTTTACTTACTCTCATTGCAAACATCTATTTGAGTGCCTTCCGGGTGCTCTGGGAATACAGACAAAAAGTTCTTCCTCAAAGTTAGCAGGGTAGTGGAGAAGAAAGAAGAAAAAAACGGTAACAAACAAGGTTAAATAATAATATAAACAAATGAGTATGCGCACAGAGCAGAGAGAGAGACACAGCACCACCCTCAATGTGTTATATGTGCTATAACACATCCTCAGTGACTGACATTACTTACCTATGGGTAGTCAGTTTCCAAGAAAAGGCCATCAAGATACTTTCAGTAAACTAGGAAACAGCAAATATTCTTCCTCAAAGAGTGTGACTGATAGTCTTTTTCTGCATTACTTTACTCTATTAAGTAAGGCACAAAACAGGCCAGGCACAGTGGCTCACCCCTGTAATCCCGGGACTTTGGGAAGCCGAGGTGGGCCGATTACTAGAGCTCAGGAGTTCCAGACGAGCCTGGGCAACATGGCAAAATCCCAGCTCTACAAAATTTTTTTTTAAGTTAGCTGGGGGTGGTGGTGCATGCCTTTAGTCCCAGCTACTTGGGAGGCTGAGGTGGGAGGCTTGCTTGAGCCCAGGAGGTCAAGGCCACAGTGAGCCGTGATTGTGCCACTATACTCCAGCCTGGGTGACAGAGCAACACCCTGTCTCAAAAAACTAAATACATAAGGCACAACCAACCAACAAATAGCTATTATGTTTCTGAAATAATTGTTTTTCATTCCTTATATCCATGTTTTCCCCACTCTCGGTCCACATGCTTTCAGTAAAACTGATCCCACCCCTGCCCTCTCCAAAGATAGTGTGCTTTCTCAAATCCAGGCCTTGGCTGGGAGATGGAAGACCTGGGGACAAAGAGAGTGTGACACTGCCACTACCATCTTGCTACCGTGAGTGGAAAGCCCATTTGAGAATGGAGTTGGCCCAGAGAAGCAGAGCTGAGAGATGGGGAGAAGGAAACATGAGTATCTGAATGAAGTCACGATGAGAAGCCAGCCCTATCCCTGGACCTTTCAGTGACACAAGTCAATTCATTCAATTTTCGCTTAAAACACTTTGCCTAGGCCAGGCATGGTGGCTCACACCTGTAATCCTAGCACTTTGGGAGGCCCAGATGGGAGGACTGCTTGAAGCCGGAAGTCTGAGACCAGCCTGGTCAACATAGCAAGACCTCATCTCAAAAAAATAAAATAAATAAAATAAAAGATATATAAAAAAGAAACAAACAAAAAAACCACTTTGCCTTGGATTTTTGGTCCCTTGCAAAGGGGCTGTAATGGATAAAGTGAGGATTTCTGAAGTATGAAGGTCCCTGTTCTCAAGAAATTACAATCTAATTGTGAAGACATGATCCAAATATACATTTCAAAATTTCACATAACAATTCATATTACATAATTGCACAAGATATATAATTATATAGTACAGAAATTATGTTATTGTATACTATAAGGACATGAAATTAAGAATAAATACTACAATGAAAGTGTTGAAAGCTCAGGAAGATCAGTGGGGAATCCCATTACTATAGTCAGGCTTCTGGAGGTAGTCTAAACTTCTTGAAAAGAAGAAATTTGGTCGAGCACAGTGGCTCACACCTGTAATCCCAGCACTTTGTGAGGCCGAGGCAGGCAGATCACGAGGTCAGGAGTTTGAGACTAGCCTGGCCAACATGGTAAAACCCCATCACTACGAAAGATACAAAAAATTAGCCAGGCATGGTGGCACACACCTGTAATCCTAGCTACTTGGGAGGGTGAGGCAGGAGAATCGCTTGAACCCAGGAGGCAGAGGTTACAGTGAGCTGAGATCACACCATTGCACTCCAGCCTGGGCGACAGGGAGAGACTCCATCTCAAAAAATAAAAATAAAAAAAAAGAATAAATTTGTCTGTTCAGTTGACTAATGTACTTGTGGGACCCAGAACAACACCTAGCATTATAGTAGGCCTCCAAGTTTGTGGAGGGAAGGCAGGAGAGGAGAAAGAGAGAGAGAAAGGGAAGGAAACAGAAATCTGAAGTAGTATTCTGAGGAAGAGTAGGATTTCAGTAAATGAAGGGTGAGGAGAGGATATTCCAGAGTAAGAGAAAACGTACACCAAGAGATAGGAATGTTTGAGCGTGGCCTCTCTGTGGGGTAGGGAGGAAGATGTCCTTACTGGAACAAAAGGTGGCACTGAGGCTTGGTCAAAGATAAAGGTGCAAGAGGAGGAATAGCTCCAAAGGCCAATAGAGTAGTTTGGATCTCAAGCAGCCAGAAATGGAGCTGGTAAATGTTTGTGTCATGATGAATGTAATAAATGGAGTTGAAGCAAGATCACAGTGAAGGAAGTCTGCTGGATGGAGTCCTATGCTGTCTAAATGAAGAAATGGAGTGAACATTAATGAGCAATACAAGCTGAATGGTAGAGAGGTCAAAATGAGTAGGAGAATTCCATGAGTGGAAAATCCCTGCACATAACAACACCAATCATTAGCAATAACACGTACTTTAGAGCCCATGACTCTATAGTATGATTCCAAACCATCCTTCCCTTCACAGTAGTCAGCAAACTGGAGCCATAAGAGACATCCTTGGGTTCAAAGGTAAGACAGTAATCTTGGTGGGAGGAAGGGGGTAGTGGGGGCAGTTGTGACTGGAACTCTGGCCTCCCTGGCTTTCCTTTTGACTGTAGTTTTCTCTGATGGACTTTAAACATGGCCATCTTCAAAACTGTCTGCCCTGTGCGGTAGATTATTCCAAAGCTATGAAAGAAAGAAACACTCCTCCCCTTACATTAACTCCACACTACCTAAAAACAATGCATGCACCTTTGGTAACAAAGAGAAACCAGCTAGTGGGAAAGAGAAGAAGAAAAATGGCCCTACAAGTTTCCAAAAGACGTTCAGTCATCCATTAACTTTCCAGCCCCAAGTGAATGCACAGAAGGCAATCTCATAAAGCCAATGAGAGGGATATTTCAATATCATCGTGACTACTCTGGCAGGCTGCCTTAGTTCTTTCAAGTGACTCAAAAGCAAGTTAAAGACAAAAGGATCCCAAATGAAAAAGCTGCCACATCAAATGCCAAAGTAGTAATTTTAGCTCCTAGGTCTTGCCTGAGATGTTTAAGAAACAGAATTCTCAAGGTCCAAAATTTAGAATTAACTTGTACCACAAACTAAAGATGCAGGATGTGAAGACCAGCAGCTCCTCTGGGAAATGTCACCTAGTCTGATGCTCCTGATTCATTGCTAGTGACAAGCTGCAAGTCAGTTCCCAAGGACCACGATAATCAACCAACAAACCCAGCAAATATTTATCTAACACCAACTCTGTGGGAAGATCTGGGTGATGAATCATTGGAACACACATGAAAATGTAAGATATTTACACAAGAAAATGTAAGACAGTCTCTTACTCTCAAGGAGCTTACAATTGAATTGGAGAAAAGGAGGACTAAATGCAAAAATATTTAAGAGTATAAGACTGGCATCCTAAGTGCCAAAATAATGGTCCCAGACTACATTAAGAGAGGAAGAAATCAGTAAAATCTAGCATGGACCTCTTGAGACCTTGGGTAGGGGGGGATTTAAACAGAAGCGAGGGGGATGACAGATGAAGGGTTGTAGTTAGCAAAGCAAAGTCAAAGAGGCTAAAATGGGCAGATGAAGCTCAGGAGGCTGTGAGAAGCCTTGTGACTTGAAGGTTCACACAGAAGAGTATGAAGAGAAGGGGTAAATAAGCAGGCCAGGGCCAGCAGAGAGGGTCCTGCATGCCTGATGAGCAGAACAGATACAAACACAGTTCTAAAGGGCTCTGTAAACTCTGGACAAAGCAAAATGAGAGTCTTGAAAAGCAGGACAGCCCAAGAAGAGTCAAAGCTCAAGGAGAGTAAAAATCCAAGAAATTTCCTACCAAACAATTCCTGAAAAGACCAAATGTCAGTTCAAACATGTCCACTCTCTTAGAGGACAGAGGCACACTGTATGTGCTCAAGGCTCCAACACAATCGAGTTGAAAACAAACCAGATCAATATTAAAATCCAGACCCTACGTTCCTGTAGAGCTGGCTCTGGAGAGTTTACTTCATTTTGTGCAGGACCCAGCTTAGCATAAGTACTGGCACATTGTTTCAAGTTTAGTTCAACAAGCAGGGACCAAGCACCTATTCGTTACCAGTGAGAAGGACAAACAAAAATGATTAAAGAAGACCAAGAAGTTCAGTTGGCCCGTGAAATGCCTACGAAGCATCCTACTGGAAAAGGCAGTTGTATTCTCCTTCTGTTCTCAGGAGAGGTCAAGTCTAGAAATAGACACTTGGGAGCCATCAGCAAATATTATAGATGGCAGTTAGGAAGTTAACTAGCAAAGTGAATGCAGCTGTCCACAGACAGCATGTAGAATTAAAAAGATGTAGGCTTAGGATATCCCCATTTAGGTGGAAAGCAAAGCAAGGAGAGATAGGAAAGTAGATTAAGAATGAAGAGAGATGTACAAAAGTGTCAATAACTATGGAGTATTTAAATAAGACAGCAAGGCAAAGAGCTCATTAACCTTGGCAATGAGAAGTCTATCATTATTGAGGGCCTGCTCTGCCAGATTCAGTTTATGCATCACCCCAGATGAACACAACTACCTTGCTGCTGGCTGAAACAGTCTGCCCAGTTCCTGTTGCAATGGCTGTTCCTGGGCCTTCATATGTTGTTGATGCACCAGCCTGACAGTGCATTGCCTTCTACCCTTGCTGTGTGACTCTCAATCCCACCCAGGCTTTCTCTCCTGCTACTGAAGCATGAGACTTGGAGTGACCTATTCAATCAGCAGTCATGTCAACAACAAGTACAGAGAAGTGGAGGCTCCAAGAATCAAACTTTGACCTACAGGAGATAGAAATTGACGAATGAAATATTTTCCCTCCTTGCCCCAGTGGACTGTTCAGAGATGCAGTAGCTTCACATAGTTATGTGAAGATGTCCCACAAGACCAAGCAATCATCCTCTCATGAAGCTATAGTCAACTTATAAGCAATCTCTTGTTATGTTCTCCCTCCTTCCCTTTCTCCCCATTCCTGCTTCCCTGGGATGACTCTTGCAAATGAAGTGTACGCTTTTGCCTCTCCCTCTAATTTATATTTTCAAGGACTCTAGACTAAGACACCTACCTTGTGACAGGTACTGTTCTGGATGTTGGGTAGACAGTCCCGTCCTTGACAAAACTTATTCCAATGAAAGAATCTGCCCAGCAGATCCTTCAGAATAGATAACCATTTATTTTTCAACAACTCAATATACATGTGAAGTGACTGGTTGGTTATAAGAACTGATTTAGTTGACCACAGTTTTTTTTTTATGGAAAGGTAAACTGTCCCCACAAAAGTTATAGGCAGACACATCTTATATATTTACTAGTAATCACATATCCCATTTATTAAGTGCTTATTATGTGCCAAGTAGGCTCCTATTGAGTCACTATTCAAGTATAAAGGTATCTCACTTAATCCTCAAAACACCCCAGGGAGATTAGTTCACAGCAAAGCTGAGTGATTAAGAGGATAGACCGCATTCAGAAAAACTTGGATTTTAATTGTAGTTCTGCCACCTGGTACCTGTGTCTCCCTGAACAAGACACTTAATCTCTCTAAGTCGTTTTCATTATCTACAAAATGGAGTTTGTAATAGCAGCCACTCCACTGGATTGTTATGAAGAATAAAAGAGATGGAGAATATAAAGTGCTTGCTACATGCCTGATGCCTAGTAAGCCTCCATTAAAAGGCAACCACAATTCCTCCCATTTCACAACGAGGGACCACTGAGGTTCAGAGAGATCAGTTAACTGCCTAAGCTCACTCAGACAGTAACAGATCACAACAGGATTTGAACCTAGATGTGTTTAATTCTTAAAATCAGTGCTCTTAACCACTCTCCCCCATCCATTTGTTTCTAATGCTGAGATACGGCCTCATGTGGTTGTCTGTCATAGTGGAATCTTTTAGTGCTAGGCTGGCAATGTTGATTGGTTAACAAAAAGAATCCCCGAATTCCTTCACCTTCACCAAATTAAGAATCCTCATTCTCGCTGTCTTAACTCTGAATGTTTAGGTGTATGTGGTTGGGAAAGAGGGGCAACCACCTTTTTACCATTTCTTCTTGAAGGCAATAGCAGGAAAAAGTCCATGCCATCATCTAGAGATGCTATCAACTGGAGAGGCCGCAGAGAAAAGTCTGACCCTGGAACTAGACTGCCTGGGCTCAAAATGCCAGCTCCACCACCTACTAGCTATGTGTGACCTTGGGCAAATTACTTCTCTCTCTATGCAAGAATGTCCCTATTCTGTAAAATTTTGTTAATAACAGTATCTACCTCACAGAGTTTTTATGAGTTAATATTTATAAAGTTATTAGAATAATTCCTGGTACATTATATTGTAAGCACTACATACATTTCTTCTTCTTTTTTTTTTTTTTTTTTTTTTTGAGATGGAGTCTCGCTCTGTTGCCCAGGCTGGAGTGCAATAGAGCAATCTCAGCCCACTGCAACCTCTGCCTCCCAGCCTCAAGCAATTCTCTTGCCTCAGCCTTCCAAGTAGCTGGGATTACAGGCACCTGCCACCACGCCGGGCCAATTTTTTTGTATAGAGACAAAGTTTCACCATGTTGGTCAGGCTGGTCTCGAACTCCTGACCTCTGGTGATCCACCTGCCTTGGCCTCCCAAAGTGCTGGGATTACAGGCATGAGCCACCGTGCCCGACTTATATACATTTCTGATAATACCTAAAATCTATCCCATAGGTTCTTTGATCCTTTAACTTTTCGATAAAGAAGGTACAGAAAGTGATAGGAATTGAACAAAACTAGTGGCTTCAAACTTTGGCAATCCAACACACATGCACACACACATACGCACACAACTGAAAAGTGTCATGAAACAACATTTATCCTTAGTCATGAACTCTGATATTTTCTATAACTTTTTAAATGCTGGTTGTGGCTCACTAATTTGCTTTCATGATTTAGTAAAAGGTCTCAACCTGCAGTTTGAAAAGCTGTGGAATAAACCACATGGCCACCAAAGGCAGAACTAGAACAGTCTTCAAACCACTCAGCTCCTTCTTCATGGGTTATTATTAAATCAGAAAGGGCCTAAGTTTCACTTCTTGCTGTAAAAGAAACTGTACATTCCGTATCCTCCTCCTTTGCCCTCCACAGTTCACGTGAGCACTAGAAATTCAGAGAACACCCAGGAACCAGTGGGCACTTCCTATGTATGCAACTCATGTCACTGTTGCCCAATCTAAGGTGCTGCCATTCAACATCAGGGAGAGTCCTGTGGCCTGTTCTCTTAGTTTCGTCTTCCTTATTTTGAGGCCCAGCAACCGTCATCATTCACTGTACCTTTGGAGCAAAGAAGTTGCTGATCTAAACACCACAAGGCAATGTTGTTATATATTTAGTAAAAAGATTATAAACAGACTAGATGAAACTTATTAGTGGTTAAGTTTAAAAAAACAAAACAAAACACCAAAAAAAAAAAACAGTCCAGCTGGGCGCGGTGGCTCACGCCTATAATCCCAGCGCTTTGGGAGGCCAAGGCAGGCGGACCACGAGGTCAGGAGATCGAGACCATCCTGGCTAACACAGTGAAACCCCGTCTCTACTAAAAAAAAATACAAAAAAAGTAGCTGGGCGTGGTGGCGGGCGCCTGTAGTCCCAGCTACTCAGGAGGCTGAGGCAGGAGAATGGCGTGAACCTGGGAGGCGGAGCTTGCAGTGAGCTGAGATGGCACCACTGCACTCCAGCCTGGGCGACAGAGCGAGACTCCGTCTCAAAAAAAAAAAAAAAAAACCTCCTTATCTCTTAAATATTGAAATATTCAAAGATAAATTATATCTGCTATTGTTTCAAAGTAATGGAGGAGAGTGGGAATGGGTGAGGGATACAGATAAAACAAAATTGGCCCTGAGCTGATGATTATCAAAGTAGCATGATGGGTACATGAGAATCCATAACACTAGTCTCTCTACTGTATATATTTGAAATTTTTTATAATAAAAAGTTTTTAAATATCTAATTAATGGTGTGTAAAAAAAAGGCTTAAGAGACTCACAATAAATGCAGAGGAAGACAATAAATAAAACAGAAAAAAATATCCAGAGAACTAAATCTGTGAATAGAAAAGGCCCATAATATATCATGAAATGAACACAGAAAAATCAACAAAGACTTATAATGTTTAAATTTTTGCCCTTCAAGGATAAAGAAAGAGTTATTTAAGAATCAATGGATTGCTAACAAAATACAGCAGAAACCCAGATTGGTCTCAGACTTCTCCATAGCAATATTCAAGGCCTGAAGATAATGTAGCCATGTCTTAAAAAATTCTGATAGAGAGCAACTGTGATCCAAGAATATTAGGAGAAGCTGAGTCATCACTCAAGTGTAAAAAAGGTTCAGACATCTCTCTTCCTCTGCAACTTGAAAGATCTCAGCCTATGTAGCACCCACGAACTCGTCTTGAGAAACAGAAATCTTGCACCCAGTAGATCAATCAAAACAAAAACCACAGGAACAGGAAAGCCACGATCAAAGAACAAGTGGCTACATATGGCACCAAGACCAAAAAATGGGAGCATGCAAGTTGGAATGTAAATGTTAGAAAATTGCCAAGGCAAAAAAAGAAACAACAAAAAAAAAGATAAGCTATAAAAATTGAGAGATAGGAAGAGTAGTGCAAGGAAGTTTAAAAACACGAATTACCTAATTCTTCCAGACAATCATCTAAAGTGAAGATATAACTAAAAATGTCTTTAAAAATATTAATAGTGACTTTAGCCTCCTAACAGTTTTCATAATCTTTTTTTAACCTTAGAGAAAACTTTTAGGAACTATTATCTTTGGTAGAGAAAAAAGTACAGCAGCTCTTTCACTTTCATTTCAGTTTTCTTTTCTTCTGTTAAATTCAAGTAAAAAGAAATGCAGTTATTTTTATTTTTATAGTACATATGGTACAATGCCATTCTTATAAAATTATTTCACCCTCACCAGCCACCCTTCTGTTTATGTGTACCAAATGTTAACACTGGAAGAGAAAGTCCATATGCACCATTACCAAATCCAGAGCCTTCCCCTCCTACCTGCCTGCCCTGTCTCAGCCTCTAACCTAGGTTTATCTTTCTACCTGCAAACCAGAACCCACCCCTTCTTGCTTACTCAAGCCCTTTCCTCCTAAAATTATACACTCTTATTTTCCGTATCATCATTTTCCATTTCTACTGGCTCATTACCAGCAGCAGTCAAACACACTGTATTTTCTCCCATCTTATTAAACAAACAAACGCATATTTTCCTTGATCTCTTCCCTTCTCCCAACCCACCTACCTTTTCATCGTGGCTTCTCTTTACATTAAGACTCAAAATGGTGTCCGTACTCCCTGCCTCCACCTTCTTTCTTCCCTTTTTCTCTTAAGGCCACTGTAACCAGGCTCTTGCTTCTACCACTCTTGTGGTGGGTGGTAATGACCTGCACATGGCTAAATATTGCCAACTCTTGAGACTCCACCACCACCATCACTGGCCTGAGAACACCACACTCTCTTGATATGCTACAGACACACATTCTGTCTCCTTTGTTGGGCCCTCTCCTTTTCCAACATCTAAATGCTGAAATGCCCCATGCATGATTCAGTCATAGGATCTGTTTTCTATCTCTCCTTGCTTCCTATCAGATCCCATTCCATTCTATGTCTGGTGATTCCCAAATCTGTATCTACAGTCTAGATCTCTCAGTCAACTCCAGCCTCCAACTGACTTACCATTTCCTCATAGCCATCTAACAGGTACCTAGAACTTAACATGCCCGAACCTGAACTCTTGACACCCCATCCTGACCCCACCCCAGCATGTTCCCTACCCCAGTAACGGTACCACCATTCACCTGCCAGGCCACAAATCTTCAGAGTTATTATTGACTCTTCTCTTACAAATTCCCAATCCAATTCATGAGCAAATCCTATCAGCTCCACCTTCAAAATGAGTCTAGAATTCAACCCTTCCTATCCCTTCCACCTTTTGAACAGTGCAACTCAGCCTCATTTTGTTCTGAATTGCTGTGGTAGCTCCTAACTGGTCTTGCTGCCTCCTCCCTTGCTTCCCTGTAGTCTACTCTCCACACTGCAGCCCTGCTCATCATCTTTCAATGGCTTCCCAGTGGAGAAAAGCTAACGGCTTTCCAAAACCTTACATGGCCCAGTTCACCCTTACTCACTGGCCCCCAGCTACACTGGCCTCTCTGGTCATAGAACATGGCAAGCAAACACCCACCTCAGGGCCTTTGCATATGCTTCCCTTCGCTGGAAGCATACTTCCCCACAGTCACGTGGTTAGCTCTCTCACTTCATTGAGCTCTCTGCTCACAGCAGCCTTTGTGACCACTCCATCTGAAAGTGCCCCGACACTCTCTATTATGCTCTTACCTCATTTTAATTTTTCTTCATGCCACTTGTAAATCTATTTAGGTGTTTATCATTTTCTCCTCCCACTAGAGTGTAAGTTCCATGATGGTAGGGACTTCACTTTGTTCCCTGCTGATCCCCGATGCCACAGTGCCTCACATAGAGTAAGCACTCAATAAAGGCACATTGAATGAATGAATCAAGAGCTGTTTTTTGGGTGATGGGATTTGGAACAATTTATTGCTGGCTTCTTTTTACTTTTCAGTTTTGCTTGAATTTTTTATAACGAGTATTTACTTTTTAAAAAAAATAAGCAAGAGTTATTCCTTTAGAAATTAAAAAAGGAAACCCATCAAAAATCAAAGGAGAGATGCATTATCTAGTCACCTCTGCTATATTTTGACAAGTGTTTTTCCTTCATTATTTATGATAGCTACAAAAGGATTCACAATGTAATGCCCACGGGGAATTTTTCATAATTAATGAAACCTCTTTAGAATGAAACCTTTACTGGAACAAAAGTTTTAATTGCCCAGGGCTGACCATGGAGTATGAAGACAAAGCTCCTGAGTAAGAATAAAAATTTGCAAGGTTTTCCTAAATTTTACTCCCCACTATAATATTTTTTTCAATATTGCTACCATAATCCAGATGCCAGAATCCAGGATCTGTTGGCATCCTGAAACTCAAAAAGTGTGATGGGCCAGGTGTGGTGGCTCACACCTGTAATCCCAGTACTTTGGGAGGCTGAGGCAGGCAGATCACTTGAGGCCAGGAGTTCAAGACCAGCCTGGCCAACATGGCAGAACCCCATCTCTACTAACAATACAAAAAGTAGCCAGGCATGGTGGTGCACCTGTAAGCCCAGCTACTCAGGAAGCCAAGCCATGAGAACCGCTTGAGCCCACAAGGCAAAGATTGCACTGAGCCGAGATCACACCGCTGCACTCCAGCCTGGGTGACAGAGCAACACTCTGTCTCCAAAAAAAAGTGTGATGATCTTTCGTAATGTTTAAATACAAAATAAGAATATCCCTTTCAAATAAGCTGACACTTTTTGAACATGTAATAACCAGGTTCACAGAATCACAGAGGCCAGTGAGAAGAAGATTTAAAAGTACCCGTGTGAGCCCCAGTGACACACGCACCACCAGGAAAGTTTCCTGTCCCTGTCCCTCCAACTAATCCACAGCAACACAATGTCAGCAAGTGGCACAATCTGCCTCCCCTGCCTCCAGGCAGCCATGGGGAAGGTGGAGAGCAAAAGGACCATTCCCTGTGTCACTGATAACTGAGGCTCAATGTGAAATACAAGGCATGAGAGGCGCCCAAAGGTAGGCGACAAGCTCAGTATCTCCCCTGTATCTTTCTGTCTCAGGTATAATCTGCATCTTCTGCTCTTTTCGTGATAAGAAAAGGAACAGCAACAGCATGTCTACTATGCAAATGTGGACTACTAATCTGGCATCATGGAACTTAATGTAGAAGTTTATGCAACCCTGAGCAAGTTTCAAAACCTGGTCTCCTAACACATATGTCTAAGTTTTCTAAGGCTCCTGACCAAGCAATAGACTGTGAACACCCCAGAAGTTCAAGCAGGTCTTCCAGGGTCTTCACACTGCTAACCGCAATCATGGCAACTCCTTCGTTTCCTTTTTTAAAAAATCAACAACCTTATTGTTTTCCCAATTATCCCTTTATAATTGGGCAGTTTAGAACCTCAGATATATCAAGTGAGTATGCACAACGATTAGGGGTGATGAGCTAATAAACATCATTATCTAGGCCATGGTGGTTTTGCAAACACCACTTAGGCCAAGATGGTATGAGCATTCTACAGTTTTTCACTGCTCTTATTCTTTGTCATATATCATAAAATGTACAGTCATAGTGGACTGTGGATTAAAAACAAGAAGTTGGCTGGGCATGGTGGCTCAAGCCTATAATCCCAGCACTTTGGGAGGCCGAAGCGGGAGGACCACTTGAAGTCAGGAGTTCCAGACCAGCCTGGCCAACATGGCGAAACCCCATCTCTACAAAACAATACAAAAATTAGCCAGGTGTGGTGTAGGCACCTGTAATTCCAGCTACTCGGGAGTCTGAGGCATGACAATCACTTGAACCCAGGACGCAAAGGTTGCAGTGAGCAGAGATTGCACCATTGTATCCAGCCTGGGCGACAGAGTGAGACTCCATCTCAAAAAAAACAACAACAACAAACGAACAAACAAAAAAACCAACAACAAGAAGTCTAAGACATTGATAAAACCCAATTGTCAACTAGAAGCATAAAAAACAGTACCAAGCCATCCAATTCACATCTAGATGATTTTCACCAGATCACTAGGTTACATTTACCTGATTAAATCTTTAGTATTTCAAAATCCAATATTAAAGACATAAGATATAGAGATAACCATATCCAAATTGGCTTTGTAACTGTTAGAGGAAAGGCATTCCATAGCTACAAGGTGTTACTCCCTTGTAGATATGCAGTTGAAACTCTCTGTGGTAACCGCTACCATGTAGAAACAAAACTTAAAAATTACATGTAAGAAGCAGTCATTCTAGAGTGTGAAATGCAATTCCAAACATTAGGTCAAGAATGCAGGTTTCTCTTATTTTTAAAAAATGTGTTAGCAAGTAATTAAATTTCCAACTATATTTTTAATGTATATTTGGTCTCAAACTAAGCACTATATTTTATTATAAATTTTAAACAAATCACACGCTTACATAATTCATTTAAATAAATTAGTGTATATCACCTATTAAATGAGAAAACATCTTTATATAAAATGGACGCTATTAAATTTTAAAGTGTATATTAAAATAAGCTGTATAATAATTTAATAATGTTGATGTAAAAGAAAATATTTTACATAAATTTGCTTTATAATAGTCTATAAAAGTAATGACATTATTTTTTAAATTCCTGAGGGGGTTCACAAAATTATATTACTCTGAAAGAAGTTCATTTTTTTTTTTTTTGAGACAGAGTCTCACTTGGAAGCCCAGGCTGGAGTACAGTGGCATGATCTCGGCTCACTGCGGCCTCTGCCTCCTGGGTTCAAGCAATTCTAGTGAGCCTCAGCCTCCCGAGTAGCTGGAATTACAATGGTGTGCCACCATGCCCGGCTAATTTTTGTATTTTTAGTAGAGATGGGGTTACACCATGTTGGCCAGGTTGGTCTTGAACTCCTGGTCTCAAGTGATCTACCTGCCTCAGCCTCCCAAAGTGCTGGGATTATGGGCGTGAGCCACCATGCCCTGCCCAAGTTCATAAATTTTTAAATGTTGGGAAATACCAGTCTAATATAAAAGTCTTTTTAGTCAGACTCCAGTAATTTAAACCAGCTTCTTGGGCCTGCCTTCCAAAGGAATCTAGTCTACCAGAGAAGACAGACTACCATAAGAAGTAATTGCAATGTAAAAAGCCCATTATCGGGGAAAAAGACGATGCTGTAGGAGTATACAGAAATTGGTCTAGGGCTCAGCAAGGGGCTCGCAGAGGAGCTAGACTTAAAGGATTGGAATTACCTATGGGAAGAAGGCAGGAAAAGTACTCCAGCCAACAGCATGTTCAAAGGCCCAGAGGCAACAGAAAAGAAGCTGCATGCAAGGAACCGAAATAATCGAAGAAATTCAGGGTAACTGAAGCATAGAATTTAAATGAGAAGAGGAAAAAAAGATGAGACTGTTGAAAGAAGCAGGGGTCAAGCTCTGGTGAGTATTGCAAATAGTCTGAAGAAGTATGGAATTGTTCCTAAGAGCAATGGGAAGCTATTAATGTGAACACAGAGTGGGAATTAGATAAGCAAAGTACAATGTTTTTAATGACATAAGTGTTCCCCTCCAACAGAGAGCCAAAGTAGAAGGGAAATGTGAGACTTTTCATTTTCAGAGGGCTCGAGTGTTCTAAGAATCTTCTAATAATGACTCCCTCAAGCTGAATCTTCCAAATAAAGCAAGATGCAAATACTCCCCCTCAAAATGCTGACAGCCTGGTGATCCAAAGGCTAGCAAGAAAATGACCACATGCCCTGACCTTGCAAGTAGATCAGTCTCATCGTTTAGATATTACAGACAGCCCCAGAATCACTGTGTGAGTCAGAAGATTTGGGCCTCTGAGTTTCACTTTCCTCATCCTAGAAACTGTGGTAAGAATTTATCCCCTGCCTACCCACCTCACACCATTTAAAGGCCACTTTTCAACCACATGCCTCAATAACATAAGTGGAAAAGATTCTACCAACTGCATTGACTCAATCCACCAGAAAAAGACAACAAGAAGCAAGAAAATGCTTCATAACGTACAGTATGTCTAAAGTTATCAAGCTGCCTGATCATTTCACACCTCTGAAAAAACATCCTACTGTTCAAATCCATAGATGGGCATATTCAGAATTTGCTTGAGGCAGGAACAAAATTCAGAGCCAAGTCAGCTAGCAGTAAGAAACACTGAACTAAATAAAAGAACCAAATGAAAGACATTAAAACTTAGCATTTGATTCAATCTGGTTCCAGGCTTAGGTTGGATGCAGCTGACAAAAGTGAATCAGCCTGGAGCTGGTGAACTCAGGTTCTGGACCCTGAACACACTACATGACTTGCTTTGATAGAACTTCTGTAGAATTTGTCATGATTTTACATGTCTCAAAAAGTTATTAGTAATTTTAAAAATCAATGAGAATGTAAAAGCAAAGTGTTACAGGTTCCAACAAAGAAAAGGTTTTTTTTTGTTTTTTTTTTTGTGACGGAGTCTCACTCTGTCGCCCAGGCTGGAGTGCAGTGGTGCGATCTCTGCTCACCGCAAGCACCGCCTCCCGGGTTCAAGTTTTTTTTGTTTGTTTGTTTGTTTTTTGAGACAGAGTCTTGCTTTGTCACCCAGGCTAGAGTGCAGTGGTGTGATCTCAGCTGGCTGCAACCTCCACCTCCTGGGCTCAAGCGATTCCCATGCCTCAGCCTCTGGAGTAGCTAGGATTATAAGTATTTTAGTAGAGACAGGATTTCGCTATGTTGGCCAGGCTGGTCTCAAACTCCTGACCTCAAGCGATCTGCCCAACTCAGCCTCCCAAAGTGCTGAGATTACAGGCATGAGCCACCGCACCCAGTCTCAAATTCTTATTACTATGTTTGCCAGTATTTTTTAAAGATATGATAAAAAAAAAAATGGTTTTAAATTATTTTACAGGTCTCCAGGTTCCCTGGGCAGGTGTGTATTATGTCAACTTGATTTAAAAAATTTTTTGACATTAGAATACTTTTAGAGGAAAAGACACAAAATAACACAATAGCTTGACTGGATGAACCTGATTCCCTTGGAAATTTCATTTTCCTTTTCAACAAAGTAGTCTTCCCCAAATTTTAGAAAAAAAAACCCATATCCCAGTTCTTTATTATTAAATGGCACATTTCTCAGAATAAAAGGCTGAAAGCATAGTTCCTCTAATTCATAAACTGGAGCATTTTACACTGTATTATGACACTCAGTACAATGTACAATAATTAGCAATTTACATCTGTCTTCCCTGCCAGGTTAGGAGCACCGTTAAGTCCAAGACCATGTCTTATTCATTGTTATATCCCAGCACCTAGCGCAGAGCTGGCATAAATGTTGAACTAAAATAAATGGAAATGAGTTGTGCTTTCCCTGTCTTTAACAATGAATCTTTGGCGGATTCCAACAAAGCCTCAGAGTTAACTATGTGCAGATCCTGGGTCAGCTAAGGCTCACAGTAAAGATTTCTGCCTAATTGCCTCTATCTCCACTCTTCCTTCCCCTTCCCTCTCCACCTCCAGAGGGGAGTTCCCGCTGGAAATTGCACAATTCTTTGTGCAGAGAGAAACAACAAGCTTAGTTCCTGTTGACCTGAAGAGCATAATGTTCTGGCACAGGATCTTCCACCTTCATAGAAGAGTAACAAACTCAATTGGGATTATTTTTCTAACTAAAACAGTCATTTGATGTCTTCTTTTATCTCACCAAGATACAACCTTCTGAGCCACTCATCTTCTATCCTCATCAGTTCCATAATAAGCAAATACAACTTTGGGACAGTCTGAGACAGCGTTTTCTGAATTTTTTCTGACCACAACCCATAATGAGCAATACATGTTATAATGTGATCCAGTATGTGAACACATGCACACTCACCCAAAAAAGTCTGACACAACAATATTTACCCTTTTTGCATCCAATTCACTTTACAATTTTTCATTATTTTTCTATCCTATTCCATTTACATTTTGAAGAAAGCTGGTGAGTAGTCAGCTAAAATGGCTCCACAACCTACTCTGCAAAGGAGTTGCAATCTGCACTTGGAAAAACACTGGTCTATGGACAGGGCTCTGGTCAGTGTTCTCAATAACAGTTTGGAGACTTTAAGCAGTAACACGACAGCTTTCAAAAACAAAACAAGGGCTGGGCGCAATGGTACGTTCCTGTAATCCCAGCTATTCAGGAGGCTGACGGGAGAATTGCTTGAGCCTTGGAGCTGGAGACCAGCTGGGGCAACATAGTGAAACCTTGTCTTAAGAGGAAAAAAAAATACAAAATCAGGTACACAAAATGAAATTCTCATCCAAAATAAACCATTCTATATCCTTCCTTGAAAAACCACACCAACGCTGGACTTTGTAGCACAAAGACTTGTAAGGAGGTCGGGGCTAGACTAGATCCAGATATGCCTAATATTCAACTAGGCCAAAAGAACTGCCCCCTCGCCCGCCAATGAAATGAAATGCCTCCAAAGTGATCCTCTGGCTATGTACATCCTCTAGCATGCAGGTGGGTAATGAAGAGAGTGGAGACAACCAGCCGATTTCTTCCTGGACTTTCTGAGTTTCAAAGTGCTTTCACTTCTATTATTTCATTTAATGAGATGCTGTCAGAAAGTTCATTTCCAGAACTGGAAAGTATTAGGTAGTAGAGAAAAGCATTTCAGGGCCGAGCACGGTGGCTTATGCCTGTAATCCCAGCACTTTTGGGAAGCTGAGGCAGGAGCATCACTTGAGTCCAGGGGTTCGAGACCAGCCTGGGCAAAATAAGGAGACCTTGTCTCTACAAAAAAAAAAAAAAAAAATAGCCAGGTGTGGTGGTGCATGTCTGTGGTCCCAGCTACTTGGGAGGCTGAGGTGGGAGGATTGCCTGAGCCCAGGAGGTCAAGGCTGCAGTAAGCCATGATCACACCACTGCACTCCAGCCTGGTGACAGAGAGACCCTGCCAAAAAAAAGAAAAAAAAGAAAAAAGTGTTTCAAAATGCTGTCTGGGGTAAGAGGGTTAACAGTGGGAAAACATGTTCAGAAATTAACTAAAATAATGTCAAATATGCCAAAAATCGTAAGTATTTGAGATTCTTGAAGCAGACGAAGGGAAAGGTTGGGTTGAGAGTAAGCTATATAAGTATTCCTGTTCTGTATGCCAGAGAATGGGGGGTGGGGGCGCATGGAATCTCATCAATTTACCAAGTCCCAAAAAGAGTAGGTTCCAGGTCTCTAGTAAGGCTTCGATGCCAGGTTTTGTATATTCTCCCTTATAATCAACTTTCCCCTCAATTCTTAGAAAGATCTTATGGAGTTCAGAAGACGATAAAGATGGAAAGTTGTAAGTCCTGAGAGATATAATTGATGTAGATATAGATATTTACAGAATAAAAGCCAACAGCCTAACATGGTATGATGTAATCAGGCATCTCCTCCCTTCCTCCTAAAAACCTCTCACCCTCTCCTCTCTGACCTCATCTCCTAGTACTTCCGCCTCATTCCCACCAGAGCACTCTGCTTCAGCCACAGTGGCCTTCTTGCCATTCCTCAAATACACCAAGCACACTTAGGGCTCCACCTTAAGGCCTTTAAACTGGCTGTTTCCTCTGCCTGAAATGCCCTTCCCCCAATATCCACGCGGCTTACACTCTTACCTCCTTTAAATTTTTGCACAAATGTGACCTATTCCATGAGGCCTCATCTAAAAGCTCCCTACCCCTTATTTTAAAATGCAACCTGGGCCAGGCACAGGTAGCTCACACCTGTAATCCCAGTACTTTAGGAAGCTGAGGTGGGAGGATTGCTTGAAGCCAGGAGTTTGAGACCAGCCTGGGCAACAAAATGAGACCCTGTCTCTAAAAAATAAAAATTAAAAATTAAAAAATTAGCCAGGCATAGTGGTATGTGACTGTGGTCCCAAGTACTTCAGGAGGCTGAGGCAGAAGGATCCCTTGAGCCCAGGAGTTGGAGGCTGCAATGAGCTATCATGGTGCCACTGCACTCCAACCTGGGCAAGAGAGAGAGAGACCTTGTCTCTTTAAAAAAAAAAAAAAAAAAAGTAGAAGAAAGAAGAAAAAATTTTAAAAAGCAACTCCCCTCACAACTACCCAGCATTCTTGATGCTCCTTACTGTACTTATTACCTTCTAAATACTAGCAATTTATATATTCATCATGTTTATTGTTTGTCTCCCTCTTCCCCAACTGAAATGTTAACTCACAGAGATCTTTATTGTATTGACTGAAATAAAGCATCTAGAGTAGTGTCTGATACATGATCATCAAAAAAATACCTGTTGCACAGATGAGTGAATGAATAAATGAATGAATAATTGTAAAACATATAAGTATATCTTCACCTACTTGGTAGTGGCTAAAAGAAAAAAAGCGTCTTCTACTCTATTTTATTCTCTTTTTTTTTTTTTGAGACAGTCTCACTCTGTCACCCAGGCTGGAGTGCAGTGGCATGATCTTGGCTCACTGCAAACCCTGACTCCCTGGTTCAAGCAATTCTCATGCCTCAGCTTCCCAAGTAGCTGGGATTACAAGCGTGCACCACCATGCCGGCTAATTTTTTAAATTTTTTTATTTTTGCATTTTTAGTATTTTTCACCAAGTTGTCCAGGTTGGTCTAGAACTCCTGACCTCAAGTGATCTGTCCACCTCAGCATCCCAAAGTGCTGGGATTACAGGCAAGAGCCACCACTCCCAGCCAGAGGGCCTTCTACTCATAGATAAACAACTGAAATGCAAATGTTCACGGACAGCATTACAATGGTCAAACTACCAGGATAAATTAATAATATCAGATCCTCCTCTGTTTTCATGAGGGAGAAGTTATCTGCAAGGTAGGATTGGCAGCCACCACAAAGGAAGGGAAAAGAGCAAAGACAGGAGGGATTTAAGACAAAAACAGCAACTTTAAAAAGTTCACTACTTATCCATGAGTTATTTCTATTAACCTTTAGCAAAGCAGGAACAAACAAGTTTTAGGAAGATAATTTTGTCAAGCTTCTGAATACCATCATCTAGACTGATTTATTAAGAAATATGTCTTTACCTATTTAATATAGACTTCCTTATAGAGCAGCATGGCTCTGAAGCATGAAGAAAAACAATTTTGCCTCATTTTGGCAAGATCCGAAACCAAATTTATCCAATAGCCAGACTGTGAAAGTCACCAAAATTTTGGGTGTGACTATTGGCCGTAAAGAGTGATAGATGGCCTGAACAACATGGAGAAATCTCGTCTCTACTAAAAATACAAAAATTAGCCGGGTGTGGTGGCACATGCCTGTAATCCCAGCTACTCGGGAGGCTGACGCAGGAGAATCTCTTGAACCCAGGAGGGAGAGGTTGCCGTGAGCCAAGGTCACGCCATTGCACTCCAGCCTGGGCAACAGGAGCAAAACTCCGTCTCAAAAAAAAAAAAAAAAGAGTGATAGATGACCATTTGGGGATGTATCCTAAAAGCCAACAGCTTGGATATCCAATCCTGGAACTTCAACAGGACTAGGCAGCAAATACTCAGCTGCTGTGCAATTGACAAATTCAGAATCCGCAGCTTGCTTCCCTGTGGGAAGGGCACCACCCTAAAAACAAAATAAAAGAAGATTCCTCATCCATCTACTCCTCAGTTTCACTGTGGAACTCATGCCCTGGAGAGAGGTAGGTTTATTTCTCATCTGCAAGCAGAGTTCCCAGCCTAAGGAAAACCCCGGAAAGGATTTCAGGCCACAAGGAGGCAATTTCAGAAGGATGAGGCCATAAAACAATTATAGAGGAACGGGTTAATCTGTATCTGGTCATAATCCATATGCCCAAAGCAACATCACTACAAGGTAATCTCACATCAGTCACTGGCTTTTCAACCCAGGCAATTTTCTTCACTCCACCTTCCCACCCTTCCTCAACTCCACCCCCTACCCCACCCCCCACCCCACACACAAAAACAACAACCAAGTTTTATATAAGGGAGGGGAAGTGGAAAGAAGCCAGAGGGTTAAATTTCTCACATCTAAGGCTCTCGGCAACCTGAATTTACTGAAGCCACTCTCCCAGGAGGGGGCATATTGTGACCAAGCTTTCCTGCTTACCTCCTGCCATCTGCAAAATTAAATTAAATGGTCCTTCGCTTCTGAAATCCTGCCATCAGTGACCAAAGGGAACATCTGAGTATACCAGTCAGAGATCATGGCTTTTCTTTTTTACCAATACACACAAATCATTATGAGATTAAGTTTCTGAATGGCTAATGTGCATCTTCATAAAGAAGCTAAACATTCAGTCTAACACCCACATGGAAGGGGTTGAAAGGGACTAGAATTGCACTTGCTGCTGCCTTGGAAGATGATTAAAAGCAGGACAGGCAGAAAGATGATGGCATTTTCACCTCACTTTCACGGAGTAGGGATATTGGGGATGGACATAGGAAGTCAAGCGCCAAGAGCTAAAGGGTAAGAGAAAAGGGCTATTAGAAGGCAATGGGGCCTGGCATGGTGGCTCACACTTGTAATCCCAGCACTTTGGGAGGCCCAGGCGGGTGGATCACGAGGTCAAGAGATCGAGACCATCCTGGCAAATGTGGTGAAGCCCCGTCTCTACTAAAAATACAAAAATTAGCTGGGCATGGCGATGCGTGCCTGTAGTCTCAGCTACTTGGGAGGCTGAGGCAGGAGAATCACTTGAACCCGGGAGAGGCGGAGGTTGCAGTGAGCAGAGATCGCGCCACTGCACTCCAGCCTGGTGACAGAGTGAGACTCTGTCTCAAAAAAAAAAAAAAAAATTTAAATTTAAAAAATTAAAAAGAAGGCAATGAGAAGACCCCTGGAAGGGAAGAATATCCCCTCCAGTCTCCTCACCCCAAAGGAATTGCTCTCTAGGGGGTTAAACCCATAGACATTAGAAAGCCTGTGGTCACCACACTACAGATGACTGCTCTAAGGCAAATAGAGATTTAAAGCAAAGCAGGGTATTCCTGATACTTTTTGACCTTTTTGCTCTGCCAGTTTCCATTTTCTGACCCTAAAACCCAGACAAAAGATTCTGATGTCTTTAGCCATCTACCCCCCACCTTCCCCTGACTGAACAATTTGATTCGACAATTATTTCCACACCTACCTAGTCTGATTTCCAACACGACTAAATTTGGAACAATGGAAGCAAGTGGGTGAAAAGGAACAAAGAAAATAAAATTCAGGAAATGACAATCTTCAGAGTAACAATATATAATTTGAAAAGTAACTCAGACCAGGAACAGACTTTATTTGAATATAAAATTACATACAAATCATATTTAATTCAAACCACTTCAATCCAACAAATCTTCACTGAGCACCTACTACTATGCCCTGCGGGGAAAGACAAAAAATACTTGGTCAGAGCCCCATCCAGTCTAAAACACAGCAGGCTCCCATTCCTGCACAAAGAGACTTTGGGGAGAACCTGTAAAGGCTCTTGATTAGGGATATATCATAAAGAACCTGTGCCCACCTAAAGATCACTCTTAACAGCATTTTTGGACCCATTTATCACCTCCACAACTCCAGAATGGACAAAGAGGAAAGTTACAGGGACTGAGGTGGAGAGAAAAAATAATACGGTTGCCAGCAAAGCTCAGGAATATACGCTTTTTGATGAGACACCCGGAAGGGAGAGTAAAAGAAAGAATCTTTACATCATATTTTTCTTTGAGAAATTACAATCCACAAGAGAGGTTGTTCACCAAGATTTTTTTTTAACCACCCTAGTTTTTTGTTTGTTTGTTTTAGACAGGGTCTTGCTGTGTCACCCAGGCTGGAGTGCAGCGGCATGATCATAGCTCACTGCAAGCTTGAACTCCTGGGGTAAGGCAATCATCCCACTCCAGCCTCTGGGATTAGCAGGGACTACAGGAACACACCATCACACCCGGTGAATTTTTTATTTTTTATTTTTAGTAGAGATAAGGTCTCACTACATTGTCCAGGTTGGTCTTCAACTCCTAGGCTCAAGTGATCCTCCTGCCTTGGCCTCCCAAAGTGCTGGGATTACAGGCATGAGCCACCATGCCCAGCCCATAGTAGTTTGTTTTTGTTTTTGTTTTTGAGACTGAGTCTTGCTTTGTCACCCAGGCTGGAGTGCAGTGATACAATCTCGGCTCACTGCAACCTACGCCTCCCAGGTTCAAGCGATTCTCCTGTCTCAGCCTCCTGAGTAGCTGGGATTACAGGCACATGCCACCACACCCAGATAATTTTTGTATTTTTAGTAGAGACGGGGTTTCACCATGTTAGTTAGGCTGGTCTTGAACTCCTGACCTTGTGATATCATAGTTTTTAATAAGCTCATTTCTCTTTTCCCCTATCTTGTTCTGAAAGACATAGAATTTTCAGAGGGAGAATTAGGAATAAAAGTATCTCTTGATCTGGGATCTAGGAAAAAATACTAGGACATCAGAATCAACTGAATGAAGGGATAGAAAAAAAAAATCCAAGAAATTGGGAACAAGGGAAGTCTGCAAAGCTCCTGGTCCCACAACGTCTACACTCCCAAGCCCAATATCCCGTTGTAGAAGCACTTATTCTGAAATCATAAAAACAACTTCAACCCATAAATTCTCATCTCTCAACACAGTGACCACCCACAGACGGATTTTTATGAAAATGAAGAGTTCCCCTAGAAGCCTTAACTCTGAGGGTCATCAAAATTAGAACAATCTTTTCTGAGCTTACACACTGCTGTCCTCAAGGGTTGCTCTGGGGTCAGTCTGAAACTGAAGTGATATCAGACCTCTCTGACACTTATTTCTAGTGTCAGTATCTGCCAGCAACTCGCCAAGAGCAAAAGTCCAGGGAGCCCCTTCAGGGAGAAAGTTTCTCACTCTGGATCCCAATTCTACTCTGAAAAATTCAACTGTACAACTAATATTTTACAACAAAGAGGTTCCATTTTAAAAACCCAAGGACACAGAGGGACAGCCAAGGTGACAAGGCTCAAATTCTGATAGAAAATATAAATCCCCAGATATCCTCTTCCCCTGTCCAAGGGCAAAAGCTGACCAGGCCTAGGGAGGAAAGACTCCTGGACAGTCTGGTACACACCACTCCTTCTGCTCATTCCTCCCAGCAACCACTCTTGTTGGGAGATGAATGCAGTCAAATGTTCTCCAGTGATGCAGAGCATTCTCCCATTCTTCAGGGCTTCAAAACAAAGCCAAAGAGCTGACTGCTGTATTTCTGTACTCTTATAACACAGTGAGATCCAAGGACTTCCAACCATCTGTGTGCCAACCCCCAGCTACTCTAAGACGTAAAAAGTGGAACAAAGGAGTTTGTGGCTGCAAAGATGGAGAGAAAATGATGGCTTAAAAGAAAGGCATATCGTTTTCCTTGATAATTATTTTCTTCACTTTGCTTTTCTGTATTTTCCAAACTGTCTATGATAAACATGTTGCTTTTCTAATTAGAAAAAGCAGGAAATGTTATTTTAAATGTTTTTTTAAAATCAGCAGAGCACTATCCTGAACGCTTTAACGCAATGGTCTGGGGGTACCTACAACACGCCTTGGGGAGGGCAGGGGATGGGAGGTGGAAAGAGAAAGAATGAATGAAAATCCAGTTTTTAAAAAGAGGAAAAGAAAAACTAGGGGGTTGGGGAAAGATGGGGATTTCCTATGCATTAATGTGCACACTTAGACTAAAGAAAAAAATTGCTGGGCACAGTGGCTCACACCTGTAATCCCAGCTCTTTGGGAGGCTGAGGTGAGTGGAGGAGCTGAGCTCAGGAGTTCAAGACCAGCCTGGCAAACATGGTGAAACCCCACCTCTACCAAAAATGCAAAAATTAGCTGGGCATGGTGGCGCATGCCTGCAGTCCCAGCTACTCAGGAAGCTGAGGCAGGAGAATCGCTTGAACCCAGGAGGTTGAGACTGCAGAGAGCCGAGATCGTGCCACTGCACTCCAGCCTGGGTGACGGAGCGAGACTCCATCAAAAAAGAGAAAAATGAAAAATAAAAAAATTAATTTATAGCAGTAGGCACCTGGTTAGTATACTGCACAAGAAAGTACTCAAAATAGAGAATCATTATTTCTGGGTATGTTCTGAGAAGGAAGATTTCTACTTGGATATATTTTACCCCTGGGCATGTCCAGGTTATAAGGCCCAGGTAGATAATACAGTTCTAAAGACTCAGCGTTTCTCTACTGTCTCAGTAACTCGCCTCCTGTTTCAGGAGGGCCAGAAGCAGCTGCTGGTCACTGCCAAGCAGACAGGACAGCAGCTCTGTTCCCCCTTGCAGTCCTCAGTGCTCTGAAGCTCACCCTCCATTCTACTCTCCTTCTGGCCTCCTGGAAGACTAGGGTCTTATAGGTTCTTCCCCATGAGTCTTACGAGAGAGCCTTC
Organism: Homo sapiens; assembly: GCF_000001405.40. NCBI lineage: Eukaryota > Metazoa > Chordata > Mammalia > Primates > Hominidae > Homo > Homo sapiens. Next base: position 206,272,019 of record NC_000001.11, on the reverse strand, counting down.
TAATGATAATTCACTGTTACCTGGGCCTGGGCTCATAGGAAGCACACGCCACAGTGAGGGGAGAAACAGATGCCCATTTCCAACAGAAACATCTGTTCCTTCCAGCTCAGGAAAATCTGTTGGCAGAGAATCATGTGGTAAGATTTTTTTGTTAGGAAAAAAGCTAAAATGCACACCACAGAAAAATGGACCAGTGCTATTAGGATACAACCAGTCCTCTATGCTTTTTTTAATTTTTTTTTTTTTTTTTTTTTGAGATGGAGTCTCGGTCTGTTGCCCAGGCTGGAGTGCAGTGGTGTGATCTCGGCTTGCTGCAACCCCTGCCTCCTGGGCTCAAGTGATTCTCGTGCCGCACCCTCCCAAGTAGCTGGGACTACAGGCATGTTCCACCATGCTAGGCTTTGTATTTTTAGTAGAGATGGAGTTTTGCCATGTTGGCCAGGCTGGTCTTGAACTCCTGGCCTCAGGTGATCTGCCCACCTCGGCCTCCCAAAGTGCTGGGATTACAGGCATGGGCCACCAAACCCAGCCATTCTCCATGCATTTTAAAGTAAGGGAACCAAAATCCTGCTTCCTGAAATCTTGCCCATTGTTACGAAAATCTGAGTGCCACACTTTTGCCCACACAGGTGCAACTCCCACTTAGATACAGCTCCCTGACCAGTCACTGCTCCAGGGCAAAGTCCAGTGTCACTGAATGAAAACCATGAGTTCTAGAAAGGAAGTTCATTTGAGTTTTTCACTAAGTAAAGGTCCATAACCATCCGTGTCGGTCAAGACCCTCCCTGCCAGGCCAACATAACCTGGAAACTGGGAAACCCTGAAGAGAAGTTACATTCTTTTAGACTCAAACAACACCACCACCCCAATCCACACCCTGGCCTTTTCAGAAATCTACAGGGGCACTTTTTGTTTGTCAGTGTCTAGGGAAGTGCTACTGGCATTTAGTGCAAAGGGAAAGGAATGTAATGTCCTAAATGTGTGGAACAGTCCCAAAATGCATCTAAAATGCCAATGGCATCTCTGCTAATAATCACTGTATAGAAATAGTTTGGTTTTATTGGTTTCGTCTGTTTTCCTAAATAGGTATAACAGTCATTCACCTGGGGGAAACATTCTCAATACAAAACAGTAAACAATGACAAGTAAGTTTCCCTCTCATCCCTACCCTTCCCCAAAGGTCTATACCTCTGAGGAAACCATTTTCTTATATATCCTTCAAGAAATACTAACTGTGTAAACAAGCATCTGTGTATATGCCCCTTCCCTTTTTAAAACGTGGCACGTGTGCCACATTTTTTTCATTTAACAGTGTGTCTTGGAGATTTTTCATATTAGTACATATCAATCTGCCCCTTCTTTCTACCAGCTGCATAGCATTCCACTGCATAGCTATGCTTTTGTTTATTCAACCAGTCTCTTTTTTTTGGTGGTACCTGCCATTGTTTCCAATTTTTTGCTGCCATAAACAATGCTGTAATGAATGTAGATGTGGGTGTATCTACAGAATAAAGTGGTAGAAGGAAACCAGTAAGTCAAAGGGTATATACATTTTAAATTATTTCTAATACTGCCCATTCAACAATATAGGAGACTTCTTGCTACTCTGTACTCAGAATGCAATGTATGAGCAAATGTTTTTTATCTAATATGTGAAAAATGACTACATACTGTACTTGCAATTTAATTTGTATTCCTCTATTATGAATAAGACCTGGCATCATTCATTTCCTATGTTCATAGGTTTCCATGTTGCAATAAGTCTTTGCGGGTGTTAGTAAGTTATTTAGTTAGTCTGTTTGAAACAACAGTTCATGTTCTTTACTCATTTTTTCTTTGGATTACTGATCTTTTTTGACTTTTTGTTGACTGTGTGAACACTTTATAAAGGAAATTAGCCCCTTCTCATGTGTTGCAAATATTTTTCCCAGTTCATCTTTTGGTTTTATGATATTATTTTTAACCATGTAGAACTTTTAAAATTTGTCAATCTTTTCTTACATAGCTCCTGAATTTTCAGTCAGGCTTACATTATATTCCATGGTTTAAAAATATATACCTCTATATTTTCTTTTAATATTTTTATGGTTTCATTTTGTACATGTATATTTTAATCAATATAAAATTTACTTCCATATAAGGAGGAAGACAGGGATCCAATTTAATTTTTTCCCAAATGGCTACCCAGTTGTCTCAAAACCAGTTATTGAAAAATCCATTCCTCTCTCCCATCCCACCAATTTGAAATACCATGGTTTACTCTATGCCAAATGCCTTTGTGTATTCGGCTGTACTTCTGCATTCTCTACCCTGTTTTTCTAGACTCTATTTTTAATTTGGAGATGGCAAAAACAAATCTACGGAGCAACCTTGAAGTGTCATAAAGAAAAGAAAATGGCCTTTAGAGCCTAGAGGCAGTGTTCATAGAAATTGGAATTAAAAATCATTCTCTCTGATGACTCTAAGTCCAGCTATTCCATGGGACTTTACCCCAAGCCTCATCTTCTGCTTGTAAATAGTTTATATTTTTAAATGTAAACCTTTTATTAAAATGTAACGTAGATACAGAAAGGAACACAACTCTTAAGTATCCAGCTTAAAGAATTTTCACAAAGTTAACAAAATCATGCAACCAGCACCCAGATAAAAAATAGAGCATCGCTAGTGCTCTGAAAGCCCCTTTGGCTTCCCTTCCAGTCATTACCCTTCCATAAGGGTGACCATGATACGGATTACTATCACCATAGATTGGTCCTGCCTCTTTTAAAATTTCATATAAATGGAATCATATAGGATGCACTCTTGTTTCATGCCTCTTTCACTCCTTACTATGAGATTCATCCAAGTTGTTTTGTAAAATTCATATTCATACTCTCATTATATACGTAGTATTCCACTGTACGAATACACCACACTTTGTTTATTCATTCTACTTCTGAAGAGCATTTTGGTAGTTATTTGGGTCTTATAATTAACACTGCTAAGAGCATCTTTGTATGCCTTTAAGTCATCCTACTAGTTTTATCCTTTCTGAATCCTTTTGTTTTAGGTATGTCTCTTCTACAGAGCAATGAATTGGTTTTGCTTGAAAGTCAATCTGAAAATATTTTCCTTTTATTAGGTGATTTTCAGCTCATTTATATATTTATATTACTGATATATTTAGTCTTAAGCCTGTCATATTATTTTATATTATTTTTACTGTTTCTATTATGTTAAATTCACTCTGTGATTTGTTTTCTTTGCCTGTTTTTCTATTTAGGGGAGTCCGCATTTTTGTTCTAGTGGTTATCTTTATACTAATACTTTTTATAATGTCCTTAGCCCCCTTTTGTTCTTACTCTCCTACTATCTGGTTTGTCAGCTTTCAATAATGAATTCTTTGACTCCCAATTATTTATTAACTTTGTGACAGTCTGATTCTATTCTCCCCTTTTTATCTGCCTTCCTCCATTATGCTCCCATTTTTATTGGCTTTATTTCTATTTTTCAGAACATATATCATTTACACCCATTATTCTTCCACCCTTTCCTTACCTATGCTTTAGTCTTATATCTATCTTAAAATATATTCCATGTTTGAATACTATACAGCCATAAAAAAGGATGAGTTCATGTCCTTTGTAGGGACATGGATGAAACCATCATTCTGAGCAAACTATCGCAAGGAAAAAAAAAACCAAACACGGCATGTTCTCATTCATAGGTGGGAACTGAACAATGAGAACACTTGGACACAGGATGGGGAACATCACACACAGGGGCCTGTCATGGGGTGGGGGGAGGTGGGAGGGATAGTATTAGGAGATATACTTATTGTAAATGAAGAGTTAATGGGTGCAGCACACCAACATGGCACATGTATACATATGTAACAAAACTGCACATTGTGCATATGTACTCTAGAACTTAAAGTATAATTTAAAAAAAAAAAAAAATATATATATATAGTCCATGTTCATCATAAGCCCTTTTGTTAAAATTTTCCCAAATCATATTTGCATGGAAGAACTTGTCACCTTCATTTTAAAGGATATTTTCACACTGTAGAGAATTTTATTTGTATGTTATTTTCCTTATTTTGAAGATATAAATCCATTTTTTTCTGGATTCCTTTTTTTTCTATTGAGAATTCATCCATCACTCTTTTCTATTCACTCTGCATAAAACCCATCCACTAAATTCTTACTTTCATTTATTATATTTTTAGTTTTATATTTGTCACTTTATCCAGTTTTGAATTTCCAGTTCTCTGCCAAAATAATATATCTTGTTTTTATCTTACCCTTAAACATATTTTGAAAAGTTATTTTTAAATCCATACCTGATGACTCCATTATCTGGATACTCTGTGGATCTGTTTCTATTATTTATTACATCTCTTAGTTTCAAATTATTTTGTTATGTTACCTCATATGCCTGGCTGTTTTTAACTGCATACTGGACATTTTATATGAAAAAATATAGAAATTAGAGAAATAATTTAAGACTTCTCCAAGAGGATCGTCCTTTGCTTCTGAGATGGAGCTAAGAAAACTGGCCATCCAATCAAGATCCTTAACCCAGTCAGGGAATGAGAGGGTATGAAGCTGGGCCTCAGTCTCTATGAGGGCTAGTCAATTTTCCGTTCATACTCGATCCTAAAGTTCAGCACCTCAGAATAGCAACCCAAAGCCAAAGATATTTGCCACGGCCCACTCTCCTTGGCAGGTCCTAAATTTTGAGCCTCTAGCGCCATGAATGTTTGAAAGTGGCCGGGCGTGGTGGCTCATGCCTGTAATCCCAGCACTTTGGGAGGCAGAGGCAGGCGGATCACGAGGTCAGGAGATCGAGACCATCCTGGCTAACACAGTGAAACCCCGTCTCTACTAAAAATACAAAAAATTAGCCCGGCGTGGTGGTGGGCGCCTGTAGTCCCAGCTACTTGGGAGGCTGAGGCAGGAGAATGGTGTGAACCCGGGAGGCGGAGCTTGCAGTGAGCCAAGATTGCGCCACTGCACTCCAGCCTGGGCGACAGAGCAAGACTCCGTCTCAAAAAAAAAAAAAAAAAAAAGTAAGTTTTGCTGGAAAGATTTCTAGCCTCTCAGCTGCCTCTTTAAGAATCAGAAGATATGCCTCTAGGGGAAAGTTTGTCCCAATGTCACTCTCGAATTTCCTTGTTCTCCAAGATCTTGGCTCCATAATATCCTACTGCTTTGTTAGCTCTCCACTGACTTCAAACAGATTACCAAAATTTTGTCCCAATTTTGGATTATTCCTTATGGAATTATATTGTCCATGATATCCAGAAGAAGACCTCCAATGAAGAAACCTGGAGGAGGGACAAGCATAGCTGGTAAGGCAGCTTGATGATTGTCATTAAGGATGCAGGGCTCCATCTATTTTTCTTCAGTGAGTTAACACAGCACTTTACATCACAAGATGGCAGCTGAATGTCCAGGCATCTCATCATATTTTAAGCAATAAAAAATACAGAAGGTCGGGCGTGGTGGCTCATGCCTGTAATCCCAGCAGTTTGGGAGTCAGAGGCGGGAGGATCACCTGAGGTCAGGAGTCCAAGACCATCCTGACCAACATGGAGAAACTCCATCTCTACTAAAAATACAACATTAGCCGGGCGTGGTGGCACATGCCTGTAATCCTAGCTACTTGAGAGGCTGAGGCAAGAGAATCGCTTGAAACCAGGAGGCGGAGGGTGCAGTGAGCCGAGATCGCACCATTGCACTCCAGCCTGGGCAACAAGAGCAAGACTCCATCTCAAAGAAAAAAAAAAAGAAACATAGAGAATGAAAACAATGGGCCATGCCAGCCAGGTCTGTTTCCTTTCCCATATTTTTTAATAAAAAGAATGCCTTCTTTGAGTTATGTTTGCCCTATTCATAATAATTTGCCTTCTCTTTTATAACTGGAGACTCTGAAGAGTCACATAACCTCTTTAGGTCTTAGTTTCAGTCAAATGAGTGACCTGCACTAGATGATCTCTAAGCACCTTCCAGCTCAAACATTCTTAGATTCTATTAACTTGCTTATCTTCTCATTGTTTTTAGGAGAAAAGTAGAAAGAAATAGGAGAGTTTACCTATTTAAGAGGCAAGAACTGAAGTCTAAGGATGTAGAATGTCCAGAGCTTTATCCCCTGAATGGCAGAGGTCTCAATTTAAGTTAAATCAATATACCAAAACCTAGGTTTAAAAATTAAGCTGGAGAGAAAAAAACACGTTCACTTTATGAAAAATAATTCTAATCTTCTGGCAGGTTTTGTTATAATGCTTTTCTAAATGCCTTGAAATTATGATTAGATTTACAGTAATTCAATTTGCACACAACTTTCAAAAATATCCACATGCTCTTTTGTTCATCTCTAATTACTATTATTTTTCTGAAACAGACCAATACACTATTCTTGGTGATTCCTATCACCAAGAATATCAAGCATTCCTTCTCTCTTGGTATTTCTGTGACCGTCTTTCTAGGACTTTAGGAGCAATTTTCTAAGTGCCTCTCAAGCCCAAATCTTCAGCTATTAATGAACATTCAAAGAGAACATCTTTAAATCCCCAACTTGAATTTTTATATTTTTACTTCTTTAGAGGTGGAATGTTGAGAGATTCCATATATTTGGTTAAAACAAATATGAAAAGATTCCTTATTTTTCTCCACCCTTCCTTACATTCCTCATGACCAACCATCCTCCCAAAAGGAAGCGGGGTACAATTTGTCTACATTATGCCAAATATTTCAGCTTTTTAGTTTCACCATGGAAAAAGCATTAAACTCAGCTGAATTATTCATGAGATCCTAGGTAACATGATCATTGTTTTTGGCCTTTGGCTTCAATACTTTCAGCCTTGCAACTCATTTTAGAGTTTCTGAATGGGGTTAACAAGGGACTTTGCTATATACACATCATTAAACTGTTGGCATGTGTCCTGGCACGGAAATTTACACTGTATCAATAAACCCATATATTTGCAAGGATGTGTGTGTCTTCAATGCTGTTCTTACTTTGATCAATTTTTCCTACTTCCCTGGAGTTTCACCCAGATCAGATTTTTAGAGTATGTGCCAACATGAGATGACTAAAATATTCGAGACAGAAAGAAAAATCTGAGCCCCAGTTTAGAGATTCTCAATCTTCCTCCAGGGATGATCATAAGACTGGCTTGATGGATGAGGGGCAAATGTCACCATGCACATCACTCTGAATTCCCTTCATTGCAGTAGCAAAAGCATGTTTCCCAGTTTGGACATAGAATTAAACAGCCCATACTCTTCCAGTGCCCAAAGTTTTTGAATGAATTGATTCTTCCTTATAACTGTCATTTAGACATGCCTCCTCTCCTGACCTTCTCCTATTCTCATTGCTTTGGTTTGCCCCAAAGAAAAGGAAGAAAAGAAAAGCAGATAAAGCTCTCCTTTCCCCATTACAACTCCCAAGTAACACTTTTCTCATTTCTTCCTATCAAGGCAGAATAGGTGCTGCCCACCCTCGTACCAAGAGATTTCTTACGGTCACACAAAGTAAATCATCATTGCCAACTGGCACTGAACCTAATGTTCCTCAATGATCAGACCTGAGCTCTATCCCTATGTTTCTTCCAGAAAAGTTATAACCATTCTCAAAGTTTTCACTGGAGAGCATTTAAGATTTAAGGAAATATGTTATCATTCTATTTCCTTCCAAAATTATATTATGCAAGATATAAGCATTATGCATCAATTTGCATTCCACTTCTCCCCAGTGTGAGAGTCTGGTTAATACAATTAAACTGGATCAGTACCTACTAAGCAACTAGATCTCTGGAAAGTCTGAATGCTGAAGATGGATGCCCTCGGGGAGGGGCTTAACACAGCACATAAACAAAGCTCAGATTTCATCTTCCACTAAACCCAGCGGGACACTAATGAGTTTCTAAAGATGCAGAGCAAACTAATATCATTCTCGGTTGTCATTTATTTTGGAGTACACTAGTTATTTAATTTTGTCACATGCTACCAAGTAATACAACACATTGCTTTCTTGCCTTCAGTGTTATCCCCTTTCCAAGGCATAAGAAACTACTCTAGAAGTATCCAGAGTCTTAAGACATATAGGGAAATATTAAAAGTCATTAATAAGAGTCCTGGGGGATTCCCATTTCCTTCTCATAGCCTCTTTGTTCTTTGGAGATTTTTCTATCACATGATCTTGTTTATTTTCTTTTATAGCACTTATCTCAATATTTAATTATCTTTGTTTATTTATTATGTCTCCCTCATAGATGTAATCTCCATTAGAGAAGAGACTTCTGTGTTGTTCACTGTTATATACCCAACCTAACAGTGCCCAGCACAAAGTTAAATACTCAATACATATGTATTAAATGACTATTAAGGCAGTAAGAATGGGCTGGGTTCTGCTGCATGAACAACTAACCCCCAAAATTTCAGTGGCTTAACCTCACAAAAGCTCATTTATTTTTTATGCTGTGTGTCCAACAAGGGTCAGGGAGGGGCAATCTGTCCATCATTGTAGTTCAAGAGCTCAGATTGACAGAGGTTCCACCTGCTCACAAACTTTCACCATCACCAAGGCAAGAAAAGAGAGCACTGAACTGTCCCATACTGGCAACTGCTTCTGCCCAGAATTGCCATGTATGGCCACATTTTGCTGGCCAATGCAAGTCAAATGGTACCCCTAACTTGAAAGGGAAGGAAGGAAATAGATGTGAGTAAGCACTGGAAGCCTGTAAAAAATTAAATAGCGACTCCAGAATCTTGCTGTTTTAAGGGGTTCATTTGGTCCAGCCCTGTTTCCAGGCAAGGCTGCAATCAGAAGGTAACAGATAACAGCAGATGTACTAAACAAGCAGACAAACTAACAATGGACATTAAGTACATCATACCAAGAGGCTTTTCAAAATCAGTAATCAAGTGGCACTATCAGGAGAACCTTTATAGGAAAAAAAAAAGTCTTAATTGCCCAATCAAAAGGAAATACTTGTATTCCTTATGTCATTTACCTTAGGAACAAGGTAAATGATTCAGGTACGCTCTGTATTCATGCTCTTTTACTAAAACCTTCTTGGGGACTAAACCAACTGTAGGAAAATATCCAACAATTTGACGTCATGTTTTCAGAAGACAAAAAAAAAAAAAACAAAACCCACGATAAAACCCTGTTCACTGAAATCCCATTCATACATTTATTTTTTTACCAAAGTAATACATGCGAACAAAAGCAATCAACTGGTGGCAGCATTTAGGCCCACTAAGACACAACCACCCATTACCGAAGAAGGCCTGCACATCATTCTGACTCATGTTTGGAACTTTCTCTAGAGCACATCTCTTGGTATTTCCTGCAGATATACAGCAAGCAAGATTTCATTCCTGCCAGACAAGCTTTTTTTTTTTTTAATCTCCACCAGTCAGTCTCTTACAGTGAGATAACCTCCAGTCACAACTCTCCCTCCAAATGAATTCCCAAGTTGCCATGGCAACTAATACCTTCCTCCAATACTGTCAATATGCTTCCCAACCCTAAAGGCAGCCCTCTTGATTTACTGCCAGAAGTACCAATCTCCTCATGTAAAAGAGAGTGCCTTCCTTTGCTCCAAAACTATCATGAGATTCTTTAGAAGACCCTCTGTTAATAATATTAATAGTATCAGCTACCACCTATTGAGGGCCAACTTTATTTCTATTATCTCATTTAATCATTTCAAAAAAAAAAAACAAAAACACTGCATGGTAGATATCACTCTCTTTACTTTACAGATTTAAATAATTATAAATCGGAGGTTATATAACTTGACCAAGAGGCAGAACCAGGATTTGAACACAGAATCTTCTGGCCCAGATTATCTCTGAGGCTTCCTCCTTTGACACAAGATCTTTTCCAGCTCAGAGGAGTAACTTCATCTGTCTTGTTCTCTCAGCCTAACCTTGCTTCTTTTTCTAAAAGTGCTTTCTACACTTCAAGACAATTTAGTTTGCTTTAATAACAACACTGCTCTAAATCCAATGGCACTTAAAGGTGCGTTAATGCTGATTAAACATTAAGAGAGAAAAGACTTCATTCTCCTGCTCTTCATCTCCAAGGGCTTTGGTGGGGAAGAATGAGATAATGGGTGCTAAGGGTTTTGTACTGAGAATGAAGGTATACAAGATCAATACCCAGCAGATATTGAGGTGTCCACAATGTGACCAAGTGCCAAGGAATGTCCATAAGGGTAGAACTGCAGCCAAGTCTCCTGGATTTGCTTCCTTGGACCCCTTCCTCGGGCCCCACGCCTACCCGTATGACCACATCCTCACTATTCTCCCCTAAACACAAATCGAGGGACATACAAAGCAAGCACTGTACTTACTTCTTAGCCAATCCGTCCCCTCCCCCATCCCCAACACACAGGGAGACTTTATGTTAGCCTTGTAAATAAGAAACACCATTCCACAGTTATTTTTCCAGTCTGCCTTTTTTTTAACTGCTCACCTGGCAGAAACTGTTATTCTCCTGGCCAGCAGCTATTTGTAAAACTGGTCTGCCTCCTTATTTTTATACCAAAGATACTAATTCTTTAGTAGAAATGGGAGTATTCCAAATAAGACAATTAGCAAGTCACCTAGAATTTCCACCCACTCCACAGAGGCACACAAACAAGAGAATTAACCCAATTTGTTGTCTATAATAAACAGGACATTCTACCCACCACAGAGCCCCAGAGGTTTGTACGAGATTACTAACTCCTAGTAGTAACGGCTACAATGGCCCAGTTCCCTATTTTATTACTGTGTGCTGAAATTTTAAAGGCGCTCCTCTCCCACCCCCATCTTCCCTTGCATACTTCTGCACATCAATCCATTAAGAATCTGAAGTGTAATTTATCTTATTCACTATTATCCTGTTAAATTGCTCTACAGCTGCCATGGCAGTAATTGCAGTGATCAGTGATTCAGACTTCTTAAGCAAAGGGTCTTAAGTAGGTTTCATTATTAAAATTTCCAAAGGTTTTATTATTGAAATAAACCTGAGATAGAACAGTATGCCTCCATGGGGCAGTCATACTAATGATTCTTAAGTTATGAAGGGATGTCAGATTCATCATCAATGTTGCACTCGTGAATACGAGTAATTGGGAATTTATCAACCAACAAAACCAACTGGCATTCTAAGAATGAAGAATAATAATCTCATTTTAAGTAGCATATGCACTGCTGTGCGACCCTTTAAAAAGCTGCCTTTGTTCACTGAAGTATTGCTTGTAATAGCAAATACTGGAAACAACTCAAGTGCACATTTGTAAGGAACTGATTCAATAAAGTAGGAGGCAGCCATCCATACAATGGAATACTATGCAGCTCTGATATACGAATGAGAAAGCTTTCTCTGTACCAACAAGGAAAGATCCCCAAGACATACTGTTAAGGACAAAATAGTACAGAACAGGTTAGATAATGAGTTACCTTTCATGTAAAAGAACGTGGAGGGGTAAGAACATATGTTCATATCTCCTTTTATTTACATAAAGAAACACTGCACAGATATATAAGGAACTATTAAGAGTGACACCCACAATAAGGAGCAGGGGTTCTACAGGGTGGACCAGACAGGAGTGGAAATAATACTCGTCAACATATATGCCTTTCAAAAAAATTTTTTTTCATATTTTAAATTTACCTTTACTACCTATTTATTTGGTTCAAGGCTCCATTTCGTCCACTTTGGGACTAGGTAATCAGGCTTTAAACTACTTACCTCTGCCTGTCAGAAGTCACTAACCTCATGACAGGAATAATTTAGGTTAGAGGAGTAGCAAAACTATTACTCAACTGTTTCTTTAGAAAAGGAGAAACTCATAAAACATGGGACCCTAAAATTTGAATATTATATGTAAGACGGGGTTAAAATGTGTTCAAAAAGTGTCTTCTAAAAATGTACAAACAACAGAGGTGTGACAGTATGCTGAAAAAAATATGAGGGGGGTGGAAGAGCGGGATAGAGAGTGGTCCTCCTTCCCTACTCCCTTTACAATGTTGATTTCATCCTTGGGTTTTCATAATGAACTTCTGTAAAGGGGAGATTTGCATCCAGTTTTAAGACCATTTTCAGCACAAGTGCTTTTTTATTAAGTATTTCTGTGGTTCCCCTTCCCCAGACAAAAAGGAAAGGGGAAGCTATTGTTCAGGACTTCTAATGGGTTTATCTAGCTTTGTGGGTTAAAAGAACCCACAATATTTAATAAATTTAATAATATTTAATAATATTTAATAAATTTATTAATATTTAACAATGTTTAATAAAACTTAGCCACTTGCCTAACCCTTGTGTCAGAGAGTTCTTGCTCTAACAAAACACCAAGAACAACTAGACACTTCTACCTACCCATAGCCTCAACTAGATAAATGCAAACATGTTGGCTCACTCCTGTAATCCCAGTACTTTGGAAAGCCAAAGTGAGAGGAACACTTGAGCCCAGGAGTTTGAGATCAGCCTGGGGAACATAGGGAGACCCTGTCTCTACAAAAAATAAAAAAATTAGCTGGGCTTGGTGGCACGCACCTGTGGTCCCAGTTACTTGGGAGGCTGAGGTGGGAGGATCACTCGAGCCCAGAAGGTCGAGGCTGCAGTGAGCTATGATCATGCCATCACACTCCAGCCTGGGTGACAGGATGAGACCCTGTCTCTTTTAAAAAAAAAAAAGATAAATGCAAATATGAATCACCTACAGAATTAAAAGGCCACAAATGTTCCAACCTTAGCAGAGAGTCTGGGAAGAAACCTCCACCACTGCCCCAGTCAACCCAACTAAGAGAAAGAGGTTGGCAGCCAGAGGAACAGATAAGGCAAAGCTTCATCTGAGCCTATCAGCTTCTGCAGAAAAAATATGCCATGGTCATGGGATGATCTGACTGACTGACTGATGCAAACTGTCCACACAGCTAGTTTACCTTTGCCTCCTCTCTGGATCCAAAATGTAATGGAAATGAATGCCTTATGAAATCCAACCCTGACCTTCTCATCACACACCCTTCTTAGGAGAGCCCACACTAGCTAATGACTCCAGAATTCTGGTTACCATAAGTCTAGGCATCATGCCACCGAGCTCTGTCTTTCCAACTACCTTTCAGACATCTCTACCTGGATGTCCCGGGAGTCTCATGTCCAAAGATTAATTCCTTCTTCCTGGCAGTGTATGCTCTTTGTATCTCCACTTCTCCTGTCTCAGTTAATAGCCTGTTGATTGATCAATTTCATTCTAGGTTCATGGAACACCAACCATGCACCAAGATCCCTGAACCAGAAGCCTGAAGGGCATCTACAGTCCTCCTTCTGTCCTACTCCTATTTCTATTCACCTTGTCAACAATAAGCTGCACTGATTTTTTACCTCCTAAATATTTCTCAAAACCTCACTTCCCCTTCATATTCACTGGCACTCCCTTATTCAGCATCTCATCATTCATTCAACAATATTTAATGAGTATAAAGCATACCTAGGTGTTTTTAAACAGAACAAAAACGGTGTGATCTTTGCTTTCTGGTGGCTCAACATCTAGTTATTTCTTATCTGAACTATTCAGATATACTCTTGTCTCCTACCATTAATTATCTCAACAGTAGCCAGAGTGTCTCCTCAAAACTTAAATTAGATCATTTAATTCAGGGATAGTAAACTTTTTCTATAAAGGCCAGATAGTAAATATTTTAGGCTTCTGGGCCATATGTTCTCTGTTGAAACTACTCAACTCTGCTCTTCTAACATTAAAAATAGCCATGGACGATATACAAACCCATGGGTATGACTGTTCCAATATGGCTTATTCATAAAAATAGGCAGCAGGACAGATTTGACCCATGGGCTGTAGTTTGCTGACCCCTGATTTAATTAATCACAGTGCTTCTTACTCCACTGGAATTAATCCAGATTCCTTCCCATGGCTTAGAATGTGCTCCACCCTCAACTGACTATTACTTGCTCCTCTGGGTTCCACCATGCTCCAGCTACTCTGACCACCTTTACGGTGCTTATGCACCGTGCCAAGCCTGTTCACATCTTAGGTCCCTGCACTTGCCGTTCTACCCATCAGGACCACTCTTGCCTAGGTCTTCTCATAGCTGCCTCAGCTCAAATATCACCTCCTCAGAGAGGCCTTCACTGCCCATTCCCATTAGTACCCATCCCAATGCCCAAACACTCTAACTCCCATAGCTCTATTTATTTATTTTTTCAAATTACTTATCACCATCTGAAAAAATATCATTTGTTGCATGTATATATATAGTATATATATATGTATATATATAGTCTGCTTTCCTACCACCACACTACTCTACCACTATTAGAATGTAAGCTCCATGAGGGCAGAGACTGTCTTATTCACTCACCCCCTAGGTTCCCAGCACCTGGATCGGTGCCTGGCACTTAGCAGGGGCTCAGTAAATATCTATTATCTAAATTGTTATTGCCTCTAGTCTCCCTCCCTCCAACCCACTGGTATCTTCACTGCCACCAGTGATCTTTCAAAAATACAAATGAGACCAAATATAGTGGCTCACACCTGTAATCGCAGCACCTTGGGAGGCTGAGGCACAAGGATCGCTTGAACCCAGGTAGGTGAGGCTGCAGCAAGCCATGATCACGCTACTGCACTCCATCCTGGGAAACAAGAGTGAGACCCCATCTCAAAAAAAAAAAAAAAAATAGCAGTGTGTAGTGGTGCACAATTGTAGTCCCTGCTACTTAACAGGCTGAGGCAAGAGGATCACTTCAGCCCAGGAGTCTGAGGTTACAGTGAGCTATGATCACACTACTGCACTCAAGCCTGGGCGACAGAGCAAGACTCTGTCTCATAAAAGAAAAAAAAAAAGTAAAATGCAAATGAATCATGTCACTCCCCTGCTTAAAATATTTCCATGGTTCCCCACTGGCTTTAAGATACAAATGCAAATTATGTGGCAAGACCACTATAGCTCTTATCACACCTTCCCACACTCTCGCAGTAGTAGACTGTGAGCTCTAAGTGGTAAGGACCAACTCCTGTTTATCTTTTTATCTCAGGTACTCAGCATAGTACCAGGCACATTGTTGGTGTTCCATGAATGTAGAATGAAATTAATCAATCAACAGGAGTACAACAACTAGCACAATGCACGATTCTAATGTGGTAACTCAATAAGTACCCAATTTAAAGGCAAGGAAGCAAGACTTTACACAACACTCTTCCTTTCTTTTCTTTGGAAGCAACTTGGGTGAGGGCTATGCTTATAACTCTGAATCTAACTTTGGATTTTGTCACCCAGATTTTACCTGGCAGGCAGCCACTCACCACTTTCTAAAAGAATGGCAGGAGAAGGCAGGGAGCTAGGTCATGCAAATCTATCATGCTGTTTCCTGTGATCAGCTCTGGTAAAAAGGTTAGGAAAGGAGACATAACATGAAGGCTAAAATGCAACTTAGGGATTCTCCATGGATTCCAAGTGTCTACATTCTCCCTGTCATCTATTAGCAAAGAAAACCCAATGCTGGTTCTTTTGCTGTACAAAATAACCTAAGAGGTTCGGGGACTTTCTTTAGAACTGCCTCACCAATAGAATGGGAATTGTTACTTCTAGAAGAATTTCCATTAGCCCTTTAAAATCCTTCAACATTCATTAAGGCCAAAGAGATTTCACCTAATTTAGCCTGATGGGTATGTGAACAGAGTCTTTCTAGGGAATACAGACTCCCAAATTGTTCAGCTGGGAAGTAAGGAGGGAATTTATTACTCAAAATCAAAGGGAAATGAAAAGAGGGCAACCCGGAATTCATTACTCTCCTTCTTGGGTGGGGTAATGGGTTCCAGAGTCATTCTGTTACCTTTACTATGACCTCCTTACTTAGCATCTAAAAGCTTCTGGTGTTGGATGCAGCCAGGTAGGTTCTCTTCTAATGTAATAAAATCTGCTTCAGCAAAGCTTATACAGAGTCATCTCCAGACTCCAGAAATAATAGACTATAAATTACTGGATCTCCCATTTGATACAATGAAGTGTAAGTTAGCACAGTCCTGAATGACCACTCTACACGCTACTCTGAGTGGCTCAAAGTGAACTTTGACACAAGGACTGGAGCGAACACATAGCACAGCTAGATCCGGGATTAATTCGCTTGAGCCCAGCTCCTCACTACTCACCTATGAGTCCAGTTCCAGAACCCAAGTAGAGGATGGGGGAGCAAAGCTCCTAGAGCTTTTTCCCTACTGTCTGCATCTCTTTCACATATCTTATCTTCTTGAAGAAGTTGAACAGGCTCAACTAAAATAACTAAATGATTAAGCCCTATACAGACAATCACCAGAGATTCACAAAACTGCATTCAACACAGTTACACAGACAACTGTGAGGATGACTTGATGTACCAGCGATTTACCACATTTGGGACCATTCAAAATTCCTGTCAAGGATCTGCCTATATCAACATGGGAATCAAGAACCAACCATTCAAATGGGCCCTGCTGCCAAGCCTCTTTATAATGCCATCTCTTCATATTGTTCCATTTAACAAAACTGCAGCCTATCATCTAACCTTAAATCCCTTTGCCAATGATACAGAGCCAGAGTATGCTACTCCCTAGAGCAGGAACTCAACATGATGACCTACTAAACACCATTCAGAAGATGCTGAGACTCATGAATTGCAATAGGAAAAAAAAGACAGAGAAGTAGTCAGCCAGGTACACACTGTGTCAAAAGTGCACTACAACCCCCCACCCCATTCTGTTTAATCCTAGCTGGGCTGACACCAACCTGACGAGACAGGCCAATAAGATCTCGAACTGAAAGAGGAACTCCTGAACTGGGTTCTTTAGAACCCAGGAAGCAGCAGAGTAAATCATTAAAGACCAGATAAGATCTTGATGAGGTGAGGAAGGGTTTCAGATAAATGGAATGCTGGTAGAACACAGGGCCCAAAGGAGAAAAGTTAACCTGAGCCCAGGTGGAACCTTGCTTACTGGAGTATTAAGCATGAGTTGGGACAACTATTCTAACCAGAGAAATTGGCTCCAGTGAGGGCAGTTTGGCAATCCAAGGTATGGCATGTCTATGGCTGGCAAAATTCAGGGTGACTGAAGCAAAAGTTTCAAAACCATAAAGACTACAACGGGGGTAGAGCACAAAATTCTCAAGAGATGAATCTTTGTAAGAGTGAGGCAGAACTACATGGTGGTTTTCGATCTGTTGATGCCCAACAAGAGCTTCTACTGGCTATAAGCAGGGGTGCAGGCTGTAATCGCAGGAGAGGAGGTTCACAAAAGTAATTCAGTCCTAGAGCCCAAACTGTGTTCTCTACTAAAAGGAATCAAGACCCCCTAGAGAAATGGCTGACTCCATGTATGGTGCAGGATATAGATCCTGGAACATCTTTTTTTTTTTTTTGCCAGAAAGCAAGGAAGCCATCCAAGTCCAACAGGATCACGTCAAAAGGCCATGGGAGTCAACTTGAAGAGATACTTATTAACCTGAGACAATATGAGCATCTAAAACAATTAATAGTGACTACAATGGGCTCAAATGCAAACAATAATCTATGAGCTCATTACGATATTCAGGAAAAAAAACTATTGGTCACTACAGTGGAGGTTACTAGTCACTAACTCATTATTCTGAAAAATGACTTAAAATGGGAGATAGGGTGGAGAATTAGGTATTTATCCAGTTTTTCCTGTACAAACGTAAATGTTTAGGGAGATTGAAGTAGATGAAACAAGTCTGGCAAAATTGAGATAACTGTTTAATCCGGGTGTTGGGTACATGGAGGTTCATTATATTTCTTTCCCATATATTTTATATTTGAACCCCCTCCAAAAAAAAAAAAAAAAACAGAAAAAGCAAGACAGAATGTGAGCTAAGCAGCTTAGGGTTTAGGCAAGGCTTCTGCCTACAAGAGAGACTAGGATATGAGGGGTAATATTAGTCCTGATGGGCCAAACCAACTGGAGGGATATAGGGAGGT
Source organism: Homo sapiens (assembly GCF_000001405.40). Classification (NCBI taxonomy): domain Eukaryota; kingdom Metazoa; phylum Chordata; class Mammalia; order Primates; family Hominidae; genus Homo; species Homo sapiens. Next base: position 206,254,046 of record NC_000001.11, on the reverse strand, counting down.
GCCAAGTTGCAGAGGTATCATGTTGCCCAGCACTTGATCTAGAATCCTAGATTCTAGGTCTGGTTAGTAGCAGATTTACTAGGTGGTAGATCTGAGGCTACCTATAGAACTTCCTTTGCAGTCATAATTAGCTCAGAAACTACAAAAGGGCTTGCTCTTGAAAATGGAGCCTTTGTCTATTTCATGCTGTTATAACAGAATGCCACAGACTGCATAATTTAAAACAAAAAAAAAAAAGGATCGATACCATCCTGGTTAACACGGTGAAACCCGGTCTCTGCTAAAAATACAAAAAAAATTAGCCGGGCCTGGTGGCGGGCGCCTGTAGTCCCAGCTACTCGGGAGCTGAAGCTGGAGAATGGAGAATGGCGTGAACCCGGGAGGCGGAGCTTGCAGCGAGCCGAGATCTAGCCACTGCACTCCAGCCTGGGGGACGGAGTGAGACTCCGCCTCAAAAAAAAAAAAAAAAAAAAGAAAGAAAGAAAAGAGAAAGAAAGAGAGAGAGAGTGAAGGAAGTGAGGGAGGGAGGAAAGAAAAGAAGAAAAGAATTTCTTACAGTTCTGGAGGCTAGGAAGTCCAAGGTCAAGGAACCTGCCTCTGGTGAGGGTCTTCTTGCTGCATCATCCCATGGCAGAAGGCAGAAGGGCAAGAGAGAGCGAAAGAGCAAGAGGGCAAGAGGGCCTGAACTCTCTTTCACAAAGGCTAGCAAAGAAGTATGCACAGGTTAAGGGAAAAAGTCACAATGAATCCTGTAGTACAGACTACTTTATCAAAAGCAGCTAAAAAAAGATCTCATTAACTCCCCCAACTCATCTCCACCCACATCTAAAGAGCCACACACAGCACCACCAAAGGCAGCAGAACGAGAACAGCGTTCTCCTCGACAGACCAGCTGTGAGTATCCAGACAGACACCCGACCTCAACAGCTCCAGAGCAGCCCCAGAACAGCCCCTCCGTAACCACCACTCAAGTAACCAGCTGGGAAAGTATTAAGAAAACCCGCATCCTGACACACCACTGCCAAACAACTTAAACAGCAAAGAACAACCCATCTAAACAGCAATGCCGGCTGCCAGGAAAAGTTGTGTAGGGACAATGAGTAGAGGAAAAGCAGATCCCTTGGGGTCCACCAAGAGACCCAGTCTCTCAGCTTCAGCACTTCCAAATGCACAATCCATACACCTCTAGGGCCTGTGGATCTCCACGAGGCATATTGTCTCCTTCCATCTCCTCAAAGATAAATGAGCAGGCAAGCTGGCCAGAAAACCACTCAGGGTATTACTCTTTAAAGAATCTTTATAGGGTCAAAGAGGAATGGGTCTACAGGCTATATGTATTCCCCAAAGATTCTCAGGATGATGTCAGAATCCCTTTCCAGATGTGTTTAACACTTTGTGGTCACTTGTATTCCTGCCACTGAGCGCCAGTGCTTTGCTAATTTGAACTGATTCCAGCTCACACTGACTCCAGCTTCCTGGATCTGATTACATTTAGCCAAGACTGTCATCCATACTGTACCCTTTCAAAGAGTCCTAAAAACAGCTCTTCACCTACTCTTTCAAGACAAGTAATAATATCTGCCAAAGAATGGGGAAAAAAGATGCAGAAAAAGAATACAATTAGCATACTACCAAGAAAGCAAAAAGCGAAGGGAGAGGAGAAACTAAAAAATTACATGTGGACTCACACTTATTTCTAAAGCTGCGCTAATATCTTTTTGCTTGCGTCTAAGGCACCAATTTTAAACTGTTACTGGGGGAAAAAAAAAAGAGAGAGAGACAGAGAGAAAGAAAAAAGCAGGCCTAAATCTTAAAGTAAAACTTTTAGCATAGAAGATAAGAATTGGTGAGAATTCCATTCCCGGTTATTTACCCTATAGGCTAAAGAGCTGCCTCTGCCTCTAAGGATCAGGGCATTCTGTGTTTGATGGCAGAACCTAAGTCAGAATCCAGCACAATCCCTGACAAGTGAGAACCTCAGGGTAAGTTGTCCTGACCTTGAGATTGCTTCTCTACCTCTTCAATTAAAAAATATATATAAGGGCCGGGCACGGTGGCTCATGTCTGTAATCCCAGCACTTTGGAAGACTGAGGCGTGTGGATAACCTGAGGTCAGGAGTTCGAGAACAGCCTGGCCCACATGGCGAAACCCCATCTCTACTATAAATAAAAAAATTAGCCAGGCATGGTCGTGGGTGCCTGTAATCCCAGCTACTTAGGAGGCTGAGGCAGGAGAAACACTTGAATCCAGGAGGCGGAGGCTGCAATGAGCCAAGATCGCACCACTGCACCCCAGATTGGGCGACAGAGCAAGACTCTGTCTCAAAAAAAAAAAAAAAAAAAAGAACCAAGGGGGAGATCCCTCCTGCCACCTCAGTTGTTTGAACTCAGCTACTCAAGGTCCACGTTGTCCAGATCAAGGGCTCCCATGAGTGACAGTGAGGCAGATCTGATCACTTAGAGGGCTAAAGGTAATCCTACAAAACCTGAAGATGTACAAGGAGAATGCAGCTGCTGCTCAGAAACTCCACTAGCCCAGCTTGAAAAGACATCATCTACAGGGTAATACCCAGTTCTCAATTCTAGGCCTCATAGTTTTGCTGAGTGTCTCAGAAAACTGTCCTAAACTTTTCTGGCCTTTCTTATTTTGCCCACCTAATGTAAGAAAACTAAGCTAAAATAAATTTTGTCACCAAACCAAAATGAAGCTCTCCAGGTGGTGTAGCTACTATACTCAGGAGACTTGAACTTCCCTTAACCCAAAAATGGCTATCTGGAAGTCAGCATCCTCAGAGTACATTTCAGATGCAAACTAGAAATATGTCAGTGTAAACTATGAAAGTGCAGAGCCTTTGCTTCAGTAAAACTAGATGCAGCAAAACCACGGGCTTTATGCATGACTGGTATTGTAAGAGAGGCCACAGGGAGTAGAATTAAATATGACACCTCCTTGACATATGATCAAAGCTCCTTCTAACCTCAATTTGGGGCACCATATATCACAAACCAGACAGCAAGAAATTAAGTAAATGTAAGTCTTTTTTTTATGCCATCCCAATTACATCTTGCTCAGTTCACAAACACGTTCCAGCAAATGCTGGAGGAGTTTTTCTCTCTTTAGGAGTCCTCCCTCACTTTACCCTGTTTAACAAAAGACCTCACACACTTAGAAAGAGGATGGAGGCAGGCCAGCTTCAGGACATGCTGCACAGGGAGGACTGACTGTCCCAAAGAGGGGGCTCTACACCCCTCTGACAACTCCACAATAGACCAGCTACACACAAATGCCTGAAATAAGGAAGTCCATCAAGAAAATGAACAGTTGGCGAGATCAAGGCTTCTGGCCCAAAGGGCCTGCAGCTGGTCTGGCCATTCATCAAAAAATCTGAATTTAAATGGAGACACATTCGACTGTGACATGTAATAAAAGAACTGGAGCAACAAAGGGTCTTGATTTTGGTTTCCTTTCCACCCTACACATCTCCTGCCAATGGAAGAGTGAGCGTGCCTGTGGTGCTCCTGACACATCTGGGGTAGTTCCCATTCACAGTACTCACCCTTTGGGACTTTCCACACATTACAGGGTCATCGTCCATCTATGCTAACCTAGAATGTCCAGATAAAAGCTCCTGTTTAGAGACTGGAGAGAAAATTGTCAACTCTGAAAGCCCACAAACTGTCTCAGCCAGGGGGAACACATGCAGGAAAGACTACAGAATCGTATGTCAGAAGCCTAATTTCAGATTGACCCCTATAGCTTTATGACTGTGAGTAATTCACTTACTTTCTCTAGGCTCTGTTATTCTCACATCAATAATGAGAAAAGTGGACCAAACAGTCCCCCAGATCCCTTCCAATCATAACATCCTCTGACTTTATGATTAAAGAGTGGTACTAATAACGCTAAATCTGTGGCTTAACCCCAATAGGAGTCTTCTGGGATTATACTAAGAAAAACTATCCCACACAGACAGAGCCATTCTGACCATGTCCCTCCCTACACTGACCATCATACAGATATGTGCCACTGGTATGAGAAGTCCTTTTTACAGAGGACATTGACTGATTAAATAATAGGCTGATTTATTCATTCAACCAACAAATATTTACTGAGCACCTTCTAGGTATTTAGGGATACAACAGAACAAAACAGACAAAATCCCTTCCCTTATGGAGCTTACGTTTTAGTGAAGGAGGAGGGGGAGTCAGACATCAAATAGGAAATATGAAGTGGGGTATATTTTATGCAGAGTAGCCTAGAGGGTCTTGATAAGGTGACTTTTTTTTTCTTTTCCTTTTCTTTAATTATACTTTAAGTTCTGGGATATATGTGCAGAATGTGCAGGTTTGTTACATAGGTACACATGTGCCATGGTGGTTTGCTGCCCCCATCAACCCATAATCTACATTAGGTATTTCTCTTAATGCTATCACTTCCCTTGCCTCTCACCCCCCGACAGGCCCTGGTGTGTGATGTTCCCCACACTGTGCCCGTATGTTCTCATTGTTCAACTCCCACTTATGAGTGAGAACATGTGGTGTTTGGTTTTCTGTTCCTGTGTTAGTTTGCTGAGAATAATGGTTTCCAGCTTCATCCATGTCCCTGCAAAGGACATGAACTCATTCTTTTTTTATGGCTGCATAGTATTCCATGGTGTTTACCTGCCATATTTTCTTTATCCAGTCTATCATTGATGGGCATTTGGGTTGGTTCCAAGTCTTTGTTATTGTGAATAGTGCTGCAATAAACATATGTATGCATGTGTCTTTATAGTAGAATGATTTTTAAACCTTTGGGAAAGGCCTTTGATAAGGTGACTTTTGAGCAGCAATCCAAAGCAGTGAGAGAGCGAGCCATGCAGACACTATGGGAAGAATGTTCCAGGCAGAGGGAACAGCAGGGCCCTGAGACAGGACAGGGTCAAGCATGCCTGGCATGTTAAAGGAAACACCATGAGCCCAGTGTTTATTAAGAGGAGAAAGAGCAGGAGAGTAGTAGGAAACACAGTGAGACAGGTAGTAGGAGCCAGATCATGTAAAAACTGGAAAGTCACTGGAGAATTTGAACAGAGGGGTAAACATGATCTGAATTCCATTGTAAAAGGATTGTTCTAGCTGTTATATTGAGAGTAGACAGAAGGAGGCAAGAATGGAAACAAGGAAACCAGTTGGGAAACTACTGAGATAATCCAGGTGAGAGATGATGGCAGATGGACCCAGGGCAACAGCAGTGAGGAGTAAAGAGGGACAGAGTCTGGGATATATTCTGAAGTTGAATCAATAGAACACTGGAAGACAGGATGATCTTGGAAAATCTTGGGACTACTGCAGAACCTAATAAAGCTAAACGGTACTAAATTCCAACATCCACGGTGAAATCCCAAGATTAGGGATTTGTTCATCTCTGTCACCTAGTGTCCAACCCAGTACTTGGCACATAATGAGGACACAAAAATCTTGAATGAATAAATGTGGAACTGAATATATTACAAAGCCAAAAGATCTGCAGTTTGATAGGTCTTTGGGAGACCAAAAAGCATCTGGTACTCGACATATTTCACCAACAATGAATACCCCTCCCCTGAGTGAATCCATTTATTTTTATTAAAAGTTCCTCTTTATAACTTATTTCACAGTAGTAAGCAATGAAGCTGACAAACAACTTCACATAATACAGCTAAGAATCTGAACAACTTGGTTATTTCCCTGAGAGGCCGGATGAAGTTACCAAACCTTATACCACCTCAGCAACTCCCATCTAAAATACAGCGACAAATATTACACAAACAGTAAGCTTATGCTCTTACAGATAGTAAATCATGAGGGTAACTGAAAAGGTATGCTTATGAATAATAATATTATAATAAGCAAGGAATAAAATAAGCCAAATCTATACTATTCCTATACGAGAAGCCAATGGGCTACCCTTGAATGTGCTTCACTTCCTCTGTGAAGCTGAGAACAAAAATGCCTAGATTTTTTTTTCCCAATAGCACTGCTCTGAGAAAGGTAACAATTCCCAACTGCAGAAGCTCCTCTGTCAAGATGACCCTTGAGAGTCCCAAAGTTCTTAACCCACAGAGACTGACAATGTACAAAATACAGAAGCAGAAAACCGAGTATAGGAAAAAAGGTACATTATAAACTACATTCTGGCAGCAGTTTCCTCGGTTAAGTCATTGATCATCTTGAAGGGCTAAATTAAAACCCAACATTAATCTGGCAGTAGGTGTAAAAAACATCTTATTTACCAAAATAGAAAAAGGAGGAAGAAAAATAAGACACGTAAAGTGTTTGAGATCAAATTACATTGTAAGGGAAGCTGCAATATTTGGAGACCGAGACCTAGACAGATTCATCAGCTGAGTTGGAAATCATTTGATGTGACCTTGGACTAATTATTTAACTTCTCTGCCTCTGTCTCTCATCTGTGCCTGAGTCTCCCCTCAATGTGAAGGAGAACAAATGATTTCAGCCCCCTCCTATCTTAACAGGGATGTTATGAGGCTGAGATCACAGAGGACACTGTCTTTAGTAGGATAATTAAGGACCAGGCTGCTCTTAGAAACACCCCCACAGTATGGAGGCTCCCTCTCCCTGGCATCATTTGGCTTCAGAGTTGGGCAACCAAATATGCCCACATAACATGACAAACTCAGGGTTTGGGGCCAGCATCTTGACAGATACTGTCAGGAGCCCTAGATGTGAATCCATTCTCACATATATAATTACTATATTCAAGTGTTTAATAAACATTTAGTAATGCTTTTAAGTCACCAGTATCTTCACAGAAATGACCATACTGTTGCCCATCTATTAGAAGAGATGGTGTTCAAGGTATGAAGTAGTAGAAGGTTCGTGATCATGAACCCCTGGGCAAGTCAAGATCCTCAATTGCCACCTCTATAGGTGGAAGTATAGGCCTAACAATACTAAGGATTAAAAGTGAAATGCTGCTGGCGCAGCCCTGGGCTCACAGAAGCAGCAAAACAAGCAATAAAGCCCTCCTCCCTCCCACGGTTCTGCTCAATAAATAACAAGTGCTGTTAATTCTTTAATTGTGGATCCGAGGAAAATGAAACAGGGTTCACCCATAAACATCTTATCTGCCTTGATTCCCCCTGTAACTCCTTGACTGGAGCAGAGTAAACAGGCTGAACTTTAATTAGGATCATAACATGAAAATGATCCCAGGTAAGCCAGGCTCATAAACTCCAGACAATTGGGAGGAGACTGGTTTCTAATGGACTGCTCCATACCTGGCCTAGTCAATGACAGAAGCAGACCCGGTCCTTTGTCCCAGCTTCCCAAAGAAATCCATTAGCCAGGCCCACATGGCTTCAGTTCGGATGTGGGGTCGGAGGCTTTCTATTCCGGTGATTGTGGTCTAAGAATAGAACTCCCAAGCACAAGGCAAATGGATTCACAAGAATTGTGTTCATCTACTATCCACATTACCGTCTGAGGACTATTTAAAGCACAAGGCCAGAAAGCCCCTCTCTGAATGGGAGGACCAACGAGGGGAAACAGGCAGGGCATGTTTTTAATATAGTTCTGCTACAACTTGCAAATATAGTGCGACTTGTAGAGCCCCAGTCTGAATGCCAGGATCTTGAGATACACATCCATCCTCAACAGCTCAGATATCTCACTTGGCTCCCTGTCAACCACTGAGTAAGGAATGTCAAGTCCATTTGACAAATGGGCAAGTGGGAAGCATGGAGGGACAGATTTATACAGTGCTAAGTCCACTGCTAATAACAGAAACAGTTAAAGCTGATTGTGTGCTTCTACGTGCCAGGTCCTTACTAGGCATGTCACCTTCACTCACTCTAACTTCACAACGTCTCTATAAGATAGCCAGTTATTTTGTGCACATTTAGCAACAAGAACACTGAGGTTCTGGGAGATTACGCAATTTACTCTCATGATAAAACTTATATGTGGCATAGCTAGGATTTGAACCCAGGTCTCTCTGACATTAGCACTTGTTTGGGGTTTTGTTTGTACCATGCTGCTTCTCTTGGTTTCCTTCTGCTAACTTAAGAATGCAAGGAACCTATAATCCAAAACCATACTCTAAACATTAAATCTCATAACTTGTAACTTATGTCACCGATTTGGTGAGCAAACAGAATTAAGTAGTCCAGGGCCAACAGCAGAATCTTCAGGGACAGAAACCAGATAACTCCAATTAGGTGGGCTAAACGGATAAATTCCACATCAAAGGAACCTTTACTAGGAAAATATCCGGTGACCTTCAGCCTCTGATAAGACTTCATCTCATCATTTCTCCTGTCCCAACACCCCTACACTTCAACTAGCTTCAAATATTCTGTATCCACACCAAAGACTGATTCAACACTTTGCAATCACAAACCCAAAGGCAAGTTCTCTGGGATTGCATCAGTATGAAGATTTTATTTTGCAAAGTTACTTCCCTGACCAGCCTCCCTGCTGCAGACCTCTTCAAATTTCCCAGATTAAGAAGACATTCGAAGTGACAATTCCAGGCCTTATCATCTTCAACAAACTGGTCACAATGTGTCAGATGAAGGGCAAGATCAATTCTCTGGGCCTCTTGCTTCTACATCTCTTATAGAAAGTTACCATCATCAAAATCTTTCGCATCACTCAAATCATCAACAATAGTTAGAAAAACAATAACACACACAAAAAAATTAGTAGCAAAGATAAGCCAGTACAAGTAAGTGTGACACAGTCCAAACCAACCTGGGCACATTCTCACAATCCCTTGGAAATGACTTTACCTGAAGGCTACGTGACTCATTTAACTCGGCACTAAGATGGAAAGGTCTAGGGCTCTACAGAAGTTCCTAGTAGGAAAACTTCATTCTTTTCCAAGCCAGGTCTCCAGGGCCTGGCTCTGACATGGTTACCACTTCCACAGAGAAGCTGACAACAGCTGGTCACATTATTTTCTCTACCCTATTCCTCCCCATCAGGTGAAGATAGCTAACTGCCATGTATCTCATCTAAGGAGGCTAACTTGCAGCAATGATGTGGCATGACAAGTGAAAAGTAATGGGGATCTTGAACAGTCAAAGTACACAGTTAACATAAACAAGAACATGCTGTTCACCAAGTTAACAGTTGTCAAGTCTACAGCCAGTATTTTCCCTATATTCATTTCTCATAAATCTATATCAAATCAGGAGAGGTGGTGAAATGAGGCTCTAAGCTTCCATGCACCAATCTTAAGGAAAAAAAAAAATGTCTTTTCTTCTAAGAGGGGCGCCCTGGCTATAACCTCTTTTGAGGTGGCTGAAGGGGCTTGGTGTTCTGAGTAAAAAAGAAACAAAAACAAATTTTTTTTCCCATTTAGAGAAATGGAAAAATTAAATGGTTTATATACAGACCCGATCCCTTTCATAAAGTTCGCTTGGAGGTAATACCACAATTTCAGGCCCTCTTTGAAGAAATACCATCTCGTGTTGGGTTCTAATTAAAGATATGCTGTTTTGCCGGGCGTGGTGGCTCACACCTGTAATCCCAGCACTTTGGGAGGCCGAGGCAGTTGGATCACCTGAGGTCAGAAGTTTGAGACCAGCCTGGCCAACCTGGTGAAACCCCGTCTCTACTAAAAATACAAAAATTAGCTGGGCGTGGTGGCGGGCGCCTGTAATCCCAGCTACTCGGGAGGCTGAGGCAGGAGAATCACTTGAACCTGGGAGGCAGAGGTTGCAGTGAGCTGAGATCACACTCCAGCCTGGGTGACGGAGCATGACTCTGCCTTAAAAAAAAAAAAAAAAGATTTAAAACATTAATCTGTAAGTTGTCAATATTAAATAATAAGCATTTAGGGTAAGGGCTGGATGTATAATACTATACTAAGTCAAGAAAGTTCAAAATACAGATCATTCAGTAACAGTGGCAGTGACAAAAGAGATCCTGGCTAATGCCACCACCATCCTAATCCTGTGGGAAAATGCCACCAGGAAACATTTCTATCAACCACACCATCAGATTGGGAAGCTGAGTAATTGGTCCAACTGCCAGACATTGATATATTCAAATCAATTAATCGGTAGTCACCAAGTGACTAAAAAGTGGACAACGCTCCACTGTGTGCTACAGTATACATCAGGCATTTCTAGTTCTAGTCCTAGTCCTGCTCTTAACTTTCAAAGGCAAATCAGGTTCAACCTCAATGTGAAAGAATAAACAATAAATCAGAGAGCATTTATTATAAATTGCCAAAGAAGGTTTAGTCCAGTCAGCCAAGGTGCCCCTCTATTTCTCAAATGCTAAACCCACTCAGAATGAGAGGAGCTGCTCCATCAACCGAGTAGATCCAGATGGTCTCCATGGAAGAAGCAGCACAGCTGAGAAGCCCACTGCTCAAGACTACATCTGCCCTTTCTCTCTAGATCCCTTAGAAAAGAGAGTCACCCCTCCTCCATCTCAGTCTGAGACACACAAAGAATGAAACTTTCTACAAAAGAGGAAGGTCTGAAGGACACTAGCAACTGTCATGAGTTTCCCTATGACTCGAAGCCTCTTGGCTCTAGCATAGGGGCAGCCATAGTCCACATTCAGAAGCATCTTGTTTCCTGTTCTCTAGGTTAGAGACCCAGCTAAGAATAGCACCCCATTCATGCTGCTGTGTACACATCCTTTTCACTTGCTATTTTCTCTCACACACGCATGAAGCCCGGGTCTTGTACATTCTCCAAGGTAAATGCAAATATTTATAAACGGGTACAGAGTAGTGGTTTTATTCCCTGTCCAGTCTACAAACAGGCACTACCTAGAAGAATTCCACTCCAGAGCTGAGTGACACAGGAGTAGCTGGGCCACAGGCTCCCTCTCTGAAGTTCCAAATAGAGACTCACACTCGGAAATAGTAACCTAGTGGAAATACATATAGGATGCCCAGTACCTGTGCAGAACTTCACCTCTGTGCATGACCTAAAACCAGAAGTCTGTAAAATTGATCTCTTTTTATTACATGGAACCATGTGAAATTATCAACAAAATGGTAATTTCATATGATTTAACCTAAAAGAATCCTAAAAAGCAAATCAGGCATTTAGCTAACAAACAAGAATGCAAAATCAATTGTTTCCCAGGTGGTTCCACTATGGAACACCTCGTAAGACAGGCCGAGCACTGATAAGAAACATCTATTCGCTCATGGTTCCATGTTTATATCCATATTTGTTCCTGGCCCTCGAGAGCTCACAAAGGAACAGGCAAGTGAACAGGCAAATACCGCACAGTATGGAAACTACTACTCTACAGAGACGTGCAAAATAAGAACCCTATATATAACTCAATTACAACATTTCTCAATTACACTGAATTCTGCCTGTTTGTTTGTATGTGAGCCTCACCAGTGAGATGATGCACGCTCAGAGGCAGAAACTGTATTTCTTTGTCTTTAAATCCCCAGCATACAGCACAGTTCTTGCACATAGTCAATGCTAAATGATGTTTGTCCAAAGACTCAATGACTTAGAGGCCAAGCGGCCTCTGTAAAAATGAGGTGAGTAGTGACATTTCCATTAATAACTTTGAGGTTTTTATATTTTAGACCAGACTATTAATTATAGCATTGGAAAGAGAATAACAGACTCCTGATTACAGAACTACAAAGAAAAGCAGACAGGGGGTGGCGGGGGGAGACTACACTTTATAATCAAAATAAATCTGAAAATATAGACTAAAGTCTGCCTCTAACTGGGAGTGTGGCAGCATCTTTTTGTCTCTCAATTTAATATCTTTTTATTTCAACTGATTTTCCTTACAAGTACAACAGAACCATCAAGTGCAAAAGGAGTAAAAGGTGTTCTGCAAACAAAAGCAAAGGGGACAAACCCAAACCACCACAGCTCAGGTGTGAGGGGTACTTGCCATGTGTCTTTTGGAAAAGAATGTCTACTGGTGGATGGGAGGAGATGGGCACTATGCCCTCCAGGAACTTGGATACCTTTTATGAGTTCAAAAAAAGCCAAAAAAACAATCAAATTCATATGGATACCAAGATAGGTAATTAAATGTTGAATTAAAGATCAACACGAGGGCAGAGATTAGGCTGACTTCCAGGTGGTCAGAGTTGAAGGAGATAAAACACACACACACACACACACACACACACACACACACACACACGCAAACACCTCCCAGCATTAAAAAATAATAATAATAAAAAAGTAATTTGGGTCACCTTTTAAATCCATAGAGCAATCATTTCTAAAAGAAACAGCAGGTACAAAACTAGCCTCAAGAAAAACCCTCATCTTTCAAAGCGGAATATTCTGACATAGGTTCGAGAAGACTTTCCCTCCCATCAAATAACCAAAGCTTTGGGAAAGGGCAGCACAGAGCTCTCCCTAATATGAAATATTTTATCTATACATTAATTTCTAAAGAGACACTGACCCAAGCACCATACTGCTTCGGAAGTAGAAGTCTTTATCTTAATGAATTGATCTCATCAATTTAGCTGTACATTTGATCCCAAGACCCTTTGTGGACCTGATAACCCTGGGGAGGCCCTTAAGTGAAGCTGTCCCTAGGGTGGCCCACTTCATCACAGAGACCAGCAGACAGGAAAGGGCCATTGGGGAGATTCTTATTTTATTATGTAAGTCAGAGGAAGCCACGTTTAGCTCCTCTGCTCTACTGCAGCATCCCTATTTGTACCTGGTATAACCAGCAGAGGTAGAAAAGGAAGTCTGTCTGCATAAATGAAAACAAGGGCTAGCCACTCCCGTCTGATGGTAGGTGGTCCTCCACGAGTACCTAACTATGAACACCCACAGTTAAGTTTCTCTCTCTTCTTCTCTCTCAAACCCATTTCTTTTGTTTTTTAGGGGGTTTTTTGTTAGCTTGTTTTTGAGACAGGGTCTTGCTCTTTCACCCAGGCCAGAGTGTAGAGGCATGATTACAGCTCACCGTAGCCTCGACCTTCCGGGCTTAGGTGATCCTCCTGCCTCAGCCTCCCAAGTAGCTGGGACCACAGGTGGGTGCCACCAAGTCCAGCTAATTTTTAAATTATCTGTAGAGATGGGGTCTCCTTATGTTGCCCAGGCTGCTCTCGAACTCCTGGGTTCAAGCAATCCACCCACCTCAGCCTCCCAAAGTGGTGGGATTACAGGTGTGAGCCACAGCGCCAACCCAAACCCATTTCAATTTACTTCCAAGGAATGGAAGAAGTAACATAAATGGCAAAGTGCAAAGGTCAGGTTCAGCAGCCCTATGGGAAAAGCATAGGCTTTAGAGGCAGACTTTGGGATCCTGGATCCCAGTTCCTAGGACCTGTGTTACCATGAGCACGTATCTTAATTTCTGAGCCTTAGTTTCCTCACTTCTGAAAAGAGGACAATAATATCCACCTCACTAAGGTGGTATGGGATAGTTGCTATGTTTGTTTTGTTTTTGTTTTTAAGCCTCTAAGGCCAGAGGTTTTGTGAGTGCTGGATGACTTCATTTCTAGCTCAGGCAAGCAGAAACTGGATATGAAACTAAAGAAGAGTGACATCCACATATGGCCTAGGCGTGAACAAATTCTGCTTGCTTGCATGCGTGCATGGCTAGGACGCTAGCATTTCAAGGAGCCAGCTCCATGAGTTTACAGCCAAACTGGAGAACCATTCCATAGTGACGAGTACAGCACATTTACACAGACATGCTCAAAAGCACTGCAAAATTCTCCCCCTAGTCTAGAATTCCTGAGTTGGCCAACTCTACACAGTTCAGAATAAAACCCAAAGACTGCCAAGACCAGTCAATGTCTTTTTTTTTTTTTTTTTTTTGAGACGTTGTCTCACTCTGTTGCCCAGGCTAGAGTGCAATGGTGCAATCTCAGCTCATTGCAACCTCTGCCTCCCGGGTTCAAGCAGCTCTCCTGCCTCAGCCTCCTGAGTAGCTGGGATTACAGGCGCCCAACACCATGCCCAGCTAATTTTTTTGTATTTTTAGTAGAGACAAGGTTTCACCATGTTAGTCAGGCTGGTCTCGAACTCCTGATCTCGTGATCCGCCCGCCTTGGCCTCCCAAAGTGCTGGGATTACAGGCGTGAGCCACCGTGCCTGGCCCAATGTCTTTCTTTTTAAGGAACATAAAGTAATCCGAAAAAGACCCAGAGATTTCATTCTAACATGAAATCAGTCTTGCTAATAAATTTACTGCCTCTATCAAAATCTATAATCTTCTCAAGATATCTGTCAAAAATTGTAACTGTTGCAGACATGTGGAAAAACTGGCCACACAGCAGCATAAACTCCCTCTGGCTAAAAAGTACATCAAAAATCTTTTCATTTGGCTGAGAGCAATGGCTTATGCCTGTAATTCCCAGCACTTCGGGAGGCTGAGGCAGTCAGATCACCTAAGGTTGGGAGTTGAAGACCAGCCTGGCCAACATGGTGAAACTCCATCTCTACTAAAAATATAAAAATCAGCCGGGCATGGTGGCGCATGCCTGTAGTCCCAGCTACTCGGGAGGCTGAGGCACAAGAACTGCTTGAACCCAGGAGGCGGAGGTTGCAGTGAGCCAAGATCATGCCACTGCATTTCAGCCTGGGCGACAGAGGAAGACTCTGTCTCAAAAAAGAAAGAAAAAAAACTTTTCTTTTAACTTCCAGGCCAGGGTGTCTTTATATCAATTTAATGCCAACCACAATACTAGCTACGGCTCTTCTTTGGGGAAGGGGGACTAAAGAAGGTGGCCTCCAACTGCTATCTCTTTCCCTTTGCTGCTGCCTCCTTCCAACCTACAAAAAAGGAAAGAGTCTGACATTCAGAATTAACCTTGCAAAGAAATTCTGTTTGCCAGCCCACAGGCATTTTGTTTGTTTGATTGGTTTTTCTGCTGTTGCCACTGCTGTCACCTTCCTGACCAAGAGGCCCACAGACTAGCACTTTTTTAGATTCATTTCTGGCAGTGAGTGGGTTTGTAAAGATTGCATTTGTAGTATCTGCTGGGTCCCAAAAGTGTGGAAGGACAAAAGACCATAGCCTTCTCTTAAATTCAGCTCAGAACCAACCTCACACCTCAGCTAGAAAAATTACTTCCATCAACACTGCTCCCAAATGGAGCCCTTCCACCCTCTGCCCAGCTTCCAAGCCCAGGCCCTGAGACCCACACTGCTGTTTGTTTCGGCACCTGCAAGCAGCTTGTTCACAAGCATCCAGACTACAGAGCAAGAGGAGTTTCAGAAGGGCCCTCCAACAAGTGAGTGGCCTGGGAAGAAAAGTGACAGGCAGGGTCTAATGTCCCACAGTAGCTTGTTTTCACTGCCACTTTGGCTTTACCTACCAAGGTCAGCAGCTATTCAAACACTCTGCCCAATGCCCAGCCACAGGATCCTATTAATTCTCTTCAATTAAGAGAGGACCTACCCTGGTTCCCAGAAAGCCAAAAGTAAGTGTCAGTTTCTCCCTCTAGGCAGTCTCTAGATTTAAGGGTTCCTTTCACCTCGCCTAGAAGGGCCCTCAACCTTGAAAATAAGAAGCAGCACTATGAAAACAAACTACCCATTTCTCAACTGTTCAAAGATTAGACCTTGTACCACCTCCTTGCTGGCTCCCAAAGAGACCTCATCTATAAATGGAAATAATAACACAACATGCCTTGTTGTGTCTTCTTTCAGGGCTGTAGATATGAACTAAGATAACATACACACTTAGCATACTGCCTGGCACACAGTAAGCAGTTGATAAATATTACTTAGTACTGATATGATTTTTATTATTCTAAGAATGAGTTGTAGTTATTATTAAGAGAGTAATCTTTCTAAAATACATATTGTTCCAACCCAAGCCTAAAAGCTCCACAGTCAATTTTCAGTTTTTCATGCAAACACAAGGAACCAGTATGGCAAAAATCCTAAAAAATAGATACTCTATAGGTTCTCATTTGGATTTTGAGTACATTATGTGCAGTAATACATACATATATCCATCTATTCAATAAAGAGCTGTTTGGCACCAACAAATATATAGCACTGAACTAAGACATATATATGTCTAGTTAGTACTTCTGAGCACCTACTATAGGCCAGACACTATATCAGGAGACACTGGAGATACACACATAAGTAAGAAAAGGGCCCTGCCATCCAAAAGCTTATAGTTTAATAGAGGAATTATGATAACAGGTGCTAAGATAAAAATCCCATAGCAATCAGTAGAGGCAAAAAGGAGAGAAACATACGGGTGATACTTTCTTAACTGACTTGCCAGCTTATGTGACATACCAACTTCTCTTCAAAATAAACTGGCTGAGTTGCATAGCACACTGGAGGCTGGTTGTGTATTACTCACATCTACTCCCACCAGCCAGGTTGGCTGCTTCAGGGTCAGTAGTTAGTTCACGCTAGGTATACTTGTTATTTTAATTACATATTAAATTATTATATAATACAAACAAGTGAAATATGAGTATAAAAAAAGTTATTTCTATGAAAAAGAGGTTGAATGCTTGGAAGAAATTTGAAGGCAAGTTGCTAAAAAAAATTGCTGCTGAATTAGATATGGGCAAGACAACAGTAAAAGGTTGTAGTGGTGGAGCTTAAAAATCTGGAAGAATTCTGCCCTTCATTTCTCAAATGTATTTAAGAACTTGGTTCACTTAAACTGAAACTGGAAATCACAGATCAAATGTTAAGTGTATAATTTATGAAAGAAAGTCAACTGAACTCTACTTGAAAGATCCACACTTTAAGAAAAAGCCCTGGCCCACATAAAAAGATTTGTGAATACGTGTACATTCACTTTTTTTTCCCCCCTCTGAGACAGGGTCTCACTCTGTCGCCCAGACTGGAGTGCAGTGGCTCTGTCGCCCAGACTGGAGTGCAGTGGTGTGATCTCGGCTCACTGCAACCTTTGCCTCCCGGGTTCAAGAGATTCTTGTGCCTCAGCCTCCCGAGTAGCTGGGATTACGGGCACCTGCCACCCACCTAGCTAATTTTTGTATTTTTTTTTTTTTTTAGTAGAGGTGGGGTTTCACCATGTTGGCCAGGCTGGCATTTACATATTTTTAAGTTAAAATAAAATGCTAGCTAGATGATGACATGTGCCTGTAATCCCAGCTACTCAGGAGGCTGAGACTGTAGGATGGCTTGAGCCCAGGAGTTAGAGACCAGCTGGGGCAATAATAGAGAGACCCTGTCTCAAAAAAAAATTAAAATAAATAAAATGCTTGAGAACAGTTTTGTCTTCGTTTTTAAAGACTCTCTGTTTTAACTGACTTTTGGAATTAACTGACCAATTACTAGTCCAATTGCCCCAGATAAGAAGGTGTTTCCAGTATACCTGCCTATTTCTCAGGCTGATAGCAAAATGAGTTTATATTCATGCAGCCCAATCCAAGCAGGTAGCAGAAAAGGCTGCCTTGGGATTTTATAAAATAGACCTGTTAAATACTTCTCAAGTAGATCAAGTGCAGGTGGAATACTAAATTTTAGCCATATTTCAAAAGACTGAGATGCTAATGCCTGTGAACATGCGCTATACACTAACTACTCATGGCCTGAAGCACAGACCAAAAGGTGAATGATATCCCAAATGCCACCTCAGTTTTGGTCACAGGTCTGGATACAACTCATTGGTTGATCCAAGCATCTGATGTTCCACCTTGACATGCGATGCTATCTCTGGAAAAAGAAAATGTCGCAGGTGTTGAGAAAAGGTACAAGTACCAACTATCAAAGAGGAGTAAGATCCCTTCCCAAGACCCCTTTATAGTCAGTCTAATACATTTCGGTTTATTCGCCTAGAATGCTGGACTTCTATACCACATAACAAGATTCCACACACTGAAACGGAACCAACATCATTAGCTTCTTACCAGTGTTCTGCCATCGAGATGCAGTCTGTCAAGAGAAGCAGCACAGAGTCTCATGTCAAGAGAAGTCTGCAGCGGCAGAAAGACAACTAAAAAGAGAGACTTCAGTGGAATTTGAGTCACCTGACATTAGTCTTAAAAAAGATATTTAAAATACAGAGAATCCCACTGATGGAGGAGAGAAAAATAACCCTCTTTTTTTCTTTAAAGACAGGCATTGATATGAGCGAAAGGAAAAGAACTGGGGAAGTCTTTGTATATTGAGAGCTCAGTTTATTTTTACTCTCTGCCAATAGAGGCAAGGTAATTCTATAAGCACCATTTAACTTTCTCACTACAAACAAAATAGAGTAAGTCGTATTAACGACTTACTTGCGCTCTAAACTTCCAGCTCCAGAACACTTTTTTTCCCCTGAAAATTAAATTGATTCTTACAGAATGGTACCCAAATGTGTGATTTCAAAGGCAGATCCCAAAACTGATGGGATCCTCAATGAGAGGATGAGGAGGCATTTTCAGTTTCAACTTCAACTTATTTTCTTCATTAGGGGTAGGCCTAGACGACTTCTAATTAAAATCCCTCTCTTTCCCAAACTCTATGATTTCAAAGAAACAAAAGGAAATGAGTTTCAACTATAGCTGTCAAATTTTAAGTCAGGTATCAGCAAGAAATTCCTAATTGGAAAGCTGTCAATCAATGAAACAGGTTTCAAAATAGGTTGTGGAATCTTCTTCCCCAGAGACAGTTAAAAATAGGCTAGGCAGCCATCTGTCTTGGTGGGATACAGCCCTTCCAGGAGGCCGGCATCAGAACAAAACCCTTCTTCCCTCCCTCCCAGGGAGTCCACTAATGAGAAGTGATTAAGGGCTATGAAGAATAAAGGAAGGAGACAGCAGCCCAACCAGGCCCATGGGCTAGGCGGCTGAGATTTCCTGTAGAAAGGGAAGATACAAGCTGCAAAGAGGAAGATACAAGCTGCAAAGGGGAATATACAAGGGGAAAAAGACAGGAAATAACCACAGGGCTGTGAGCATTTTGGGGAGGGCTGCACCAATCTGCTTCCCAGCTGCAACAGCTCAATTTGGTCCTGGGGACTGGGAGCTCAGCCACAGCTCTTTGGGGAGGGTATTATTCCCCTTCCTAGCTCCCAAACCCATGTATACATGAAGCCTAAGTGGAAAATGGGAACTGTCAAATAAATCCAAGATTTCCCCAGGTGACCAGCAGCATCCATGAAATAGCTCCAAAAAGTTTTCCTTTAAAATACATTGTCTTTTTTTGTTCCTTGCCACTTTCTTTGGCCATCTATAATCTTACCCATTTCCTGCAGTTCTTAACATTTCTTTCATTACTATGGAAAGCTCTCTTGGGGCACGAAAACGAATAAAACCTTCATGGACCTTTGGAAACCTAACCCCAATGAGAAATGGAAGAGACAGCATTGCTGTGGACTGTCACCTCTGCAAAAGTGGGACTGTCCCTCTTTGCAGACATGAGCAGCTCTCTGCCCCCATCTTTGTACAAACACTTCAGATATACACACTTGGGGCTTTCAACTAAGTCTCTGTTCCTGCTACTGTGTCTCCCGAAGAATACTGGAGTCAGCCATGCAGCACTGTCACATGGGGATTCAGGTACCCAGCTTTGCTGGTAGACAAAACACAGGAAGCCCACTGTTTTCTAAGCTCCCCATAGTTCAAGAGGCCCCTGTAGGGGAAAGAAGATGGCAGTAAGGTCAAGGAGTCAACATCAAGGACTCATCAAGCTGAGGTATGCAGCAAAGTAAAGATGGAGGCCAGGGATGGCCACCAGCTGTTAAGAGTTAGACACTGGGGAGTACAGGGCAAAACCAGTGCCTGAGGCTCAGTGCTCTCAAATAGAATTTTTTTCTGGTTGAGGCTGCCAGCTAAGGAGAAACCTGAAGCTCAAGCATGCAGTCTGGTGATTTTTTCCCCCTTCAGCAAAGCCAGAAAAATTTGTAGAGATAACTAGAAGAAAATCAATACCATAGGGCCCAAGATTTAACAGGAGCCTTTGCAGAGAAGAAATCTGAGTCTGTCCTGTCCTTGCAGCTGTCTTAGATCAGAGGAGATGGAGCTTTTACTCTAACAGAAGATATCAGACTTATTGAGAACAGGAGATAATGGATAGGAAAGGGCCCTAAAAACTCAAATAGCCCAAAATGAATGAAAGAGATAATCATAATACACAGGGCTACTCCCAAACTGGGTGGCTAAATAGGAGCAAATAGAAAAGTAGAGACCACCATTCTGGATCATATCCTGTGGCCACCTGAGGGGCTTAGTGAAGGCACCTATCTTCCATCTTGCTGGTATGGAGGCAAAGCTGGCTATGAAAAGGAGCAGGCTCCCAACCTGCCTTTGCTGGATGCCACACAGCAACGCCGGGGAGCAACTCTGGTCCAGCACCTGGGTAAACAATGTGACTCTCCGGAATGTCCCGAACACTACAGTCAAAATCTAGGATTTAGGAACAGTATAATGGGGGATATCTCCCCTCAAAACCTAACTCAGTTACAGAGGGAGGGATCTGTCTAGGACCCGATCTGCTATGAAAGTTTCTATTATAAAACTTGGGGTTTGCTCATTTTTCAGAACTGGGATCTTCAACACCTTTGGGATTCATTCATCAGATATGGAATTCAGACTGCTTAAAGCCTTGGGGAACTGCAACTAGGCAGCAGAGAGCTAGCTGGTTTCTAAGGAGATCGAGACTGAGCAGACGATACAGAAGTAGAGCATCCTCTAGAGGTCGCCTAGTCCACCACCCCACCACCTCCTGCTCACTCCCACCCCTCCCCAGCAGCAGGCTACCAGGAAGCAAGAGCAGACAGGTGAGCTGCTGTCCTGTTTTTCAAGCTCTCCTGGGAAGGAGAACCCACATAATTTTTCTATAGCCTGGAGCTGGTAAAAGAAGGGAAGGAAGGAACTAACAATGGAGTAAGCAACCCACTAACTTCCCATTCACTCTCATAACTCAACATGATGAGGCAGGCTGGCTGCCAGCCAGGACTCTCTCCAGAAGGATATGGCTGAAGGGCTGTCAAGTCCGAGTGTGGGACAGTGAAAAGAGCATTGCATTAGACATCAAAAGACAGGGGGAGTTGGGGAAGGAAAGAGGAAGATTAAAGCCAAGGACCGTGAAGGGACTTTTTGGGGTGATAGAAATGTTCAACCTATTGATTATAATTGTGGCTACACAAGTATATACCATTTGTCAAAACTCATTGAACTATAGGTTTCAAATAGTGAATTTTATTGCACATAAATTATACCTGAATAAAGTTGTTTTTAAAAGAAAAAACATGCATTCTAAATTCTGATCCTGCCCTATTAACTGTGTGACCTTGGCCATGTCACTTAGCCTACCTAATGCTTCAGTTTTCTCATATTTTAAATGGGATTACTAATTTCTGACCTGCTGGCCAGGTGAGATGGCTTATGCCTGTAATCCCAGCACTTTGGGAGGCCGAGGCTGGTGGATTACCTGAGATCAGTTCGAGACCAGCCTGGCTAACATGGCAAAACCCCATCTCTAGTAAAAATACAAACATTAGCCGGGCATGGTGGCACACACCTGTAATCCCAGCTACTTGGGAGGCTGAGGAAGGAGAATCACTTGAACCCAGGAGGTGGAGGTTGCAGTAAGCCAAGATCATGCCACTGTACTCCAGCCTGGGCAACAGAGTGAGACTCTGTCTCAAAAAATAATAATAATGATAATTTCTGACCTGCTTAGCTCACAGGATATTTAAGATCAGATGAGATATGAAATAAGACCCATTTTTAAAAGCACAAAATGCTAAGCAAATAGGAGGTAACTATAATTAGCTTGGTTCCACAATACTTGGGATCTCCCTGGCTATGTATTTTCTGGTGATCTTGAGAAGATTCTGTTTTATTTAATTGACGATGGTTCAAAATCTTTCCTCTGGAAAACCTTGACTGGAGTGTTCTGTCTACTTGCTTCAGACTATCTGCTTGCTCACCTCTCCACTATGTAAACCTAACTTACTGTGAGCGCCCAGGCCGTCTGGCTACTACAGATAAGCACCCCAGCCCGGGAGCACAGACGCTGAACGCAGCCGCCTGACCAGAATGCAGACACCAGGGCAGATACCATTCTGAAGCTGTGGACTCTTCCCTTTCTGGGGAAATCAGTGAGTTGATATTTTCTATGTTGCCACAGGGAGCTCTTTCTGGCAAAGGAAACGGAAAGAAAACGCAGGATCTCCTCACCAAAGCACAGAATGGGGAAAAACACCAAAGCCTGGGCAGTTGGGCAGTTAGGTACAAATCTACCCAGTGAGCAGACTTAACTAAAAGGGATTGTGATGATCTACTCCAACAATTTCATTTTTAAAATTAGGAAACGAGGCCGGGCATGATGACTTACATCTGTACTCCCAACACTTTGGGAGGCAGAGGCAGGTGGATTGCTCGAGGCCTGGAGTTCAAGACCAGCCTGCTCAACATGGCGAACCTCTGTCTCTACTAAAAATACAAAAATTACAAGAGCATGGTGACACACGCTTGTAATCCCAGCTACCGGGGTGGCTGAGGCACAAAAATCATTTGAACCTGGGAGGCAGAGGTTGCAGTGAGCTGAGATCACGCCATTGCACTCCAGCCTGGGCAACAGAACAAGACTCTGTCTAAAAAAAAAAAAAAAATTAGAAAACTAATTATCAGAGAGGCCAAGAGTTCAAGGCTAAGCAAAATTGTTAAGTAGGTCCAACTGGAGGTGCTTCAACCTTTTGATTTTAGCCCCATATACCTGCTTACTTCCCCCAGAGTGCCCTCCCTCACTAAACTGGCATCTAGTAGTCTTAGACCCTTATCAAAACCTTGTAAAGAAACAAATGGAATCTCATACTAAAGTATAAATAAACAGCTAGTCTTTTGAGTGAGATACAATAAAAGAATGTTTTAAAGAGATAAAGCTACCAGTAGAAGAGATGTCTTCAGCCTATCCACCTTCAGGGACCTTGACAATAGCCCTAAAATCATACCCAATAGGTGGTTTTGTACCCAGCTGTTGGCAAATAGGGTACCAAAGCTTGAAACTCTTCCAGATTAGTTCAAGTGGGCTTACAAAGAAGTTCAAGTGGACCTGCAGAGTAGTGGGTCTTATCTCCAAGCCCGAGCTGTAAGTAGCAACACTATTCTTTAGAAAGGCATTACATATCTTGCATAAATGAGAATCAGAGCTCCCCATACAATACTGCCACTGCCACTCTTCCTTGCAAATGCTCCTTTTAAGTCCATACGTTAAGAATACCATTCTGGGCTGGGTATGGTGGCTCACGCCTGTAATCCCAGCACTCTGAGAGGCCGAGGTAAGCGGATCACGAGGTCAAGTGTTTGAGACCAGCCTGGCCAATATGGTGAAACCCCATCTCTACTAAAAAATACAAAAATTAGCCGAGCGTGGTGGCGGGCGCCTGTAGTCCCAGCTACTTGGGAGGCTGAGGCAGGAGAATTGCTTGAACCCGGGAGGTGGAGGTTGCAGTGAGCCGAGATCGCACCACTGCACTCCAGCCTGGGCGACAGAGCGAGACTCCGTCTCAAAAAAAAAAAAAAATACAGCTCCATGAAAGCAGGGACTTCCTCTGTCTTGTTAATAACTCTATCTCTAGCACCAGACCAGAGCCTGGTACATAGTAGGCATACATAATCATGTGTTGAGTACATGAATGAATTAGTGATTGAATGAATGAATTTTTTAAAATGCACTGAACTGAATGTCTCTGAAGACAGTGTAGGGCCCTCTGGTACCACAGAGGCTGTGTCATGGGTCATGCCAGTACTCACAAGAAATGTCAACGCTGGCATACACTTCACCAACAGGCAGATATATCTGTAAGATGCAGGGGTAAGTTCAAGTGCTTCCATGAGGCATTTCCGTAATTAATTATTAGCATTCATAGGCTAGATACCTATAATACCAACTTCAGCATCGATCTAAAGGAAACCTATTCATTTAAACTGACAAAAACATGCTGTCATTTTCATTTCCATTACAAAGCATGCCAATGCAGTAGAAACATTTTGATTGATTGAATGGCTTTCTCTCAATCTGCACGGCAATTGATCAGTTTACGAAGGGACAAATAGTTCAACAATTCAAGTCAAAAGCAGAGAAACCTTTTTTTCTTTACTTATGAGGCATAAATCAGCTATTTAAAATATATAGAAATTACAAATACTTAAAATTATCTTCTGGGAGATCCTAAATAAGGTAAGGTGTGTGTGTGTGTGTGTGTGTGTGTGTGTGTGTGTATGTATGTGTACATATATATCTCTCTCTCAACGTATAACCAGAAGAACTGCTGCAACTGCCTGTTGTAGACTGCCTCCACAGCCCAGTAAGTGATGTACCACTTCATCTCCATCAAGACCTTAATTCCTGCCCCTAGAGAATAAATGAGGTAACAAAACTGGAAGCACTTTGAGTCTCTAAAAGAAGCTATAGAAATCCTGAAAGAAGAAAAGACCAAGTACAAATAGAGTCTCTGAGAGGACAAAAAAAAGTGTTGCATAAAAAGAGAGTCAAGGTGTTAATTGCTGAAGAGTCCTTCAGGTTGAAGAGAAGGATCCTTCACTATCCTGTATCCTGCAGCCCCTTCCTTCTTTTCAAGGAACTGCAGAGATTATGTCCGCCATTCCTATCAATTTGTTTATTCAGTGGCCTTTTGACAGCCAAACTGCTAGGAGCTGCTCAGTTGCGGCACAGCCAAGCAGGCCTGCACAAGTTTCCACCACACCCAGGCTTCAGCTTGGTAGAAAATGAAAATGGTCAAGAGTTTTAATGAGTTGTTAATGATTTAAGTACTCAGAGTGATATGCTTGCAAGATAAGACAAAAGGAACTTAGGAGCAGTGAAACCAAATCAAACCAATAATACATTCAACAGTGATGAATACAATTACACAACCTCTGCATACATTTAGGGAGCTTCCGAAACAGAATTTGGACTGGAACATCCCAAGGTCTAGCCTGCTTCCTCCACTCAGAAGCCCACCCATACCCTTGCTAAGAAAGTATTCTACTGTTTTCTTTAAACTCTCCTGGAATTCTATAGGCTTCCTTCATTATTTTACCTTATTGCTCCACAAAAACTTGGCTTCTAACGTCAACCCTACCTCTCATCTGCTTACTGAGGACAGGACGAAACTTGAGTTGTTCCCTGCAGACAAAAGTACAACGGTTGACACTAAAGATCACCTATTTGAAGTAAAACTGGTTTTAAGCAGGTTAATGAACCCCAGGCTTACAGGTTCTTGCACTTGGTATATTTTTCTAACACACCCCAACAAGATAAGAGATTGGAAAATGGCTCCTTTGGCTGGTTGAGAAGGAATGTAATCTTTTTTTTTTTTTTTTTAAAGCGCTGATGGAATTACCCTGCTAGGGAACCAGCATACATATGTCATTCCTTTGTACAGTATTTTTACAAGTATTTGATTTTGTTTACCCTAATTTATCCAACTCAGGAATAAAAAGGAATCTCAGATCTATGAGAAGGACCTCCAATTTCTCATTCTCAGCTTCAAAACAAATTAGTCAGTTTAACATTAGTCAAGACACAGGTTGCTGTGAAATAAGAATGATTCTAGGTCATGATTAAGATGGTTCTCCAAACTATCAACAAGACTGTCTAATCACCTGTTATGAACCCAACACTGTTAAACAGCAATGGCATGTACAAAAGAAGTATGAAATAAAGTTCCTGTCATCCACACCTAACAATCTAGAGGCAGCCTTCAATTAATTTGCTGATAGGGTGTATTGCATAATAAGTTTTATATATTTGTTGTTTGAAGTTCAAACACATTTCGCCATAAAAGGCATGCTATCGTGTTTCAGTTCTCATGCTGGTAGAAAACTGTCTTAGCCTCTAATGTAATTGAGATATCAAGTACCGTATGTGAAATGAAACATGATATTAAAAACTGGTGTAACATTAGAAATATCTGACATGTATCTGGTGCTTTGTGAGCTTGAAAGAGTTCTTCATCTACATAAACTTCACATCATAGTGTATTATGTGATGATACACGGTCATATTGTCAACGGTTGAAGAAATTGAGGCACAGAAAGCCTAGAAGCTTATACAGAGTCACACAGCTACTAAGTGGCAGCAGGACGCTCACGTTGGCCTTCCAACTCTAAATCCCGTTCTCTTTCCACTAGTGTAAAACTGAATAAGAAGCAGGTGTGAAGTGTTTTGTTTTGCTTTGTTTTTTAAGACTCATGGCTGAGAAAGAGGAAATTTTATTTGAGAAAGACAGGGAGGTAAGTGAAAACTTTTAGTGATTCAAAAGGAGGCTTAGGGGCACTTTTAGAAGCTTTCAAGGTTGACGAAGCTGGTGTTTATGGCTTTCATTTCACTTGGAGCCTCGTGGCCAGGCTTTTCCTCCTTTCAGATTTCTCACTGACTCTTTTCAAGTTCGACTGCCCTGATTAGAGTATGTTTTGTTTGGGATTTAACTCATGAATAGGAATACACCAACAGCAAAGAAGCGTTGGAACAGATTTCCTTGAGGTTACTGGACAAGCACTGGAAAAGAGAAGAGGAATGAGGAAGAGAAAAGTACAGATAAGATAAATTGCCTGAGGCAGAGTTAACTACACAGCAACCCTTGAAAGGAAGATACAGGGAAAAGGGGCTGAGGGAGGGTATTATTCTATGAAAGAGACATGGGACAGATATTGAGACAGCCCTCACCACTGTGCCATCAGGCCAGGGCAGCAGCAGCTGCAACTCAACTATGCGTAAATAGGTCTTTCCCTTATATGAAGGTCTACAGTTGAGAAGACATCTGTGAAATTAGCAGATGATGGCACAAATAATCCCACATATATGCCTTTCAAAAAATCTCTCTAACCGAATAAAAATGCAAAGAATTTCATTCGTTCATTCATTCATCCAATACACATTTATTATATGCTAAGCACTCTGCTAGATGCTAGAAAACAACGATAAACAGAAACAGTCCCTGCTCTCAAAGAGCTCATAGCTTAGCAGACAAGAGATGTGTAAACAAATACGTGCAAAATAGTGTGATTGGTATGACCTCATTTTGTTAAATAGCGAGTACAGTATTGGCACAGTCATACTTCAAGCATGAACAGAGCCCAAGAGGTTCCCCAATGTGCTCAACTTGGCAGACTTGCTATTTAGCATTTACCCATCCGTATTCAGAGGCTCGCACTCATGCTTAGGCCAAATCTCCATTATTAATCACATATTTACCAGCTAAGTCACTTTCCTAATGTCTACCCTACCCAAGTCACTGTTTTGTTTCTAAGAAGGAGGAAGGTGCGTGTTCATCTATCTCGCCCAAATTGTGTAAGGGCAACCTGAACTTGGGGTGGTGCAAAAGGGGTTCACTGTAACATGGCACGTCATTTCACGTATGGCCCAGAAAGCAACAGGTGATTCACTTTAACAAACATACTTGAGCCAGTGTTATATAGGTCAAGTCTCATCAAAACAAACACCAAGAGATGGTCCACTTTCTTCTGTTGCAGCAAATAAAATCTTAATATATATTTGTTTGGGGTATGTAATTTGCAAAGCTGATACACAAGCATTACTTCATTTAGTCAACACAGCAACTCCTAGATGTAGGAATTATATGTTCATCCTATATCTGAAGAGGCTGAGGCCAGGAGAGGTTAGAGACTTACCCAGGGCCACATAGTTGATGGCAAGGGTCAGAGCTACCACTGGTACCCAAGCCTCTGACCTCCAGCTGAGTGGTCTTTTTTCTACCAAACTGTGGCGTAAAACTCTCAAGCCAACTGTGGGTAATCTCTGTTACACAGAAAGAATTTAAAAAGGAGGAGAGTAATAACTCCTATAGTCTCCTTGGATTGAACACATTGGATGAGAAGTACTCATAGGCCACTCTCCTCAAAATAGAAATAACACTAAAAATTCAAAGCCTTTGGAAGTGAGAATAGAATACATTAAGTTCAACTGCCAATATCTGAAATATAATTTCCTATAAATGGCTTTAGCCTGATCCCCTCTTTCAACATATCCTACAATCAAAATCTCCAATCAAATCCTCTATCAAAGCGCCATCTCCCCATTCCAAAGTTATTCAAATTAAGGAGATCAACCACTTCTGCCTCCACACCCCGAAACAGCACCAGCACCACCTAGTCATGTTTTGCTGAACTCAGCCTCTCCCACACTCCCCAGGCTGCCTTTAAAAGAACTTGTTCATTAGCTGGCTCTTCAGTCACCCATGGGAGGTCAGGTGGTGGAGGGTGCTGGCAGAGCTTGACTTGACTTTTCTTTCATTCCCAGCTGACCCTCATAAGGGGCCTCCAACCAAACTCGGAGCAAGGCAGCTCAGAACTCCAGTTTTCTCTCTCCTTGTTTAGCTGTGCTCTTTCCCTACAGGGCACAGGGAAAGAAAATGCTATTAATTCCTGCAAACAAACACGAAGCCCCTTCAAGGGAGAATATTTCTGAAAGTGAAAGGTAAGAAGCTGCAAAAGGAGGTCAGGTATTTGGCACGTAAAAGGGGTGTCATCTATTTCACAGTTTCTCTGCAACATTCCCAATTTAGAAGAAAAGAAAATGACAGATTTAATGAAAGGCGGATGGGGGTGGCACTGTCACTTGCCTAATGAAATTCCTGCTTGAATGGAACTGTCATCTCAAACTCAGGGTATCTAAAATAATGCTCATTCTCTCACCAACTGCTGCACCTCTTCCTGGCTTCCATATGTCTATTTCTGCCATTGCCACCATCGTTCTCCCTGTCTCCCAAACTAAAAACCTCAGGCATTCCTGAGTCTTACTTCACCCCTAGGCCCCACACCCATCTCGGCAGCTCATCTTCCCATCTTAGTGGTATCTCTTGATTACAGTGTGGTCAAACATAATATCCAAGATAAAAGAACCAGCAGGCTTTAGAGTTGGACAGACCTGAGCTGCAGTCCCCATTCCATCATGGGTCACCATCACCTCGGATCATCTGCCTGACTCAAATTTCTTGTTCAGTAAATGGGGACTCGCAATTCCCTCACAGGTGACTCCAGTAATTGATCACATTTAACAGCATGTTTGCAGCACCCACCACAAGGCCTGGTATGCTGTGTGGGCAGGAACAAGCCTCTTGCCCCCAGCCAGGCAACTCAGAGCAACCAGGGAGTCCCTCTGAAATGACTTCATCACACTTCATCACTCTTCAACTCAGAGTGCCCCCACTGTTCTTTGTTGCCCCAGTATGAAGCCAGACTCTGGCTGATCTTCAAGGTCATCAAAAACTATCCAGTTCGATCTTACTCCTCTGTCTATAACTCCTCTGCTCCAGCCCAAGAGTCTACTCCCTCACTCAGCACACATTTATTGGGTGCCTACCACATGCAAACATGGTGCAGGAGGCTGGGAATGTTGAAATGACAGGCTGCCCACTGCCCACCCTCAAAGAACTCACAAGCTTTCTGGTAGTGAGTGTAGTCTGGGGGAAGGAGCGTGGGGGTGGGGGTGAGGGTGGATAAAACCATCATTGTATTAGGGTGTAGGAAGTGATGCAGGAGCGGTAAGCACGGTGGGGGCTGTGGGAACTCCACTGAGGGAAGACACACTGCCTCTGTTCTTTCCTCCTACTCTCGACTTAGCCAAATCCTAGTCCATAAATCAAGGTCTTATTCATTCTGGCCCACACCTCTCCCATCTCAAAATTCCTCAAGTTCTTATCAACACCACTCATTTTCAGTCATCTGCTGGCTGATGTCATTTCTTGTATTGCTGTGGGTTATTTTTTTTTTAACTACTTTCGTATAGGTAGGCTTTTTTCCTCCATGGTTTCTATGATCACAGACAATAAGGACTAGGCTCTAGACAGTTCTAAGTCTCTCACAGAAACTACATACTCATTATTTTGTGGAATAGTTGATATATTTGGAACTACTGACAACTGCAAAATAACACATTCCTTTCCCTTTGAAAAACATGCACTTCCCTCGCTGCTAGGTTCTGAGTTCTGTGTTGTCTTACACTTTTCATCCAACCCAAGATGAGAGACGAAACCCTTGCTATCTCAAAAAACGATCCAAAATGTAATTTGTTTAAAAATGGTAGTTTTTAACTTTTAAAATTGTTCCATCTAAAAAGTTATTCAAATAAAATCTTAGCGGGACACCCAATATCGTGAACATAAAAGCAGAGCTATTCTGGTTGGAGCTGTGGGGACAGCCTAGTGCTGCTACCTCAAAGGGGAAAATATTTGACTCCCTCATCAGCAACCCCTGATGCACATCCAGCGGCAGCACCGCTACAGCATGATGGAGAACTCATCTTGCCCACAAATATGTATAATAAACTTAATGTATGTACAAATGAGACATTACAAATCAATGGGGAAAAAGATGAACCCTTTAATAAATATAGCCACATGGAATATAAAATAAAGTTAGATCCCTACCTCACGCTGTTCACGAAAATTTACTCCTTGTTTATTCAAGACGTTATGTGAAAGGCAAAATGTGTAGGTGAAAATATAGAAGAATATCCTTATGATTGTGTGTGTTTGTCTTTTAAATAAATCAAAACAGTAAAGAAAATTAATTTCTTTAACAAAAAGTAAATTTGACTATATTAAATTTGGAATTTCTTTCTTTTTTTTTTTTTTTTTGAGACAGGGTCTCCTTCTGTCACCCAGACTAGGGTGCAGAGGCATGATCACGGCTCACTGCAGCCTTGGCCTCTAGAGCTCAAGTGATCCTCCCACCTCAGCCTCCTGAGTAGCTGGGATTATAGGAGTGCATCACCATGCCCAGCTAACTTATTTGTATTTTTGGTAGAGACAGAGTCTTAATATGTTGCTTCAGCTGGTCTCAAACTCCTGGACTCAAGTGATCCTCCCACCATGGCCTCCCAAAGTGCTGGGATTGCAGGTGTTAGCCACCATGCTTGGACTTGGAATTTCTTATATATCAAATAATTCAATTAAAAGTAAGATGATAAACTAAATCTGGGAGCAGGTATTGCAACCTATAATCGTCAACAATGAGTAAACAGAATATAAAAGGAACATCTACACATCAATTATTAGAAAAAGCAAGATGGCCTAAAAGAGTTGTCTCTAGATTGCAATTTAAGAACTACTCTGAGGCCGGGCACGGTGGCTCACGCCTGTAATCCCAGCACTTTGGGAGGCCAAGGTGGGAGGATCACTTGAGGTCAGGAGTTCAAGACCAGCCTGGCCAACACAGTGAAACCCCGTCTCTACTGAAAATACAAAAATTGGCCCAGCGTGGTGGCACGCACCTGTAATCCCAGTTACTTGGGAGGAGGCCATATATTATCTCAGTTTATCTATACAACCACCCTGGGATGTAGGCAGAACATATATTATGCCAGTTTCTTGATAAGGAAATTGAGACAACTTAAATGATCAGTCCAAAGGGAGAGAAATATACATATATCTTCCCGAGTAAGATGCAAAACCTACTTTTCTATCTTCTAATGTACAATCTTGCCATTACAAAAAACTACCTCCATCTTTTTTTTTTTGGAGACAGGATCTCCAAAATGTTGCCCAGGCTCATCTTGAACCCCTGGGCTCAAGAGATTCTCCTGCCTCAGCCTCCAGAGTAGCTGGGACTATAGGTACACATCACCATGCCTGGCTTATCTCTATTTTCTAAAAAATACCTGTATACACAAAAATCTATACATGAATGTTCAGAGCAGCTTCATTCATAACAGCCTAAAATAGGAAACAACCCATATGTCCGAACCATCATACATTCATACCATAGAATACTGCTCAGCAATAAAAAGGGATACACTATTGATATGCACAACAACCTGAATGAGTCTTCAGAGACTTGTGCTCAGTGAAAAAAAAAGGCCAATCCTAAAAAGCTACATGCTAATGGTTCCATTTTTATAATATTCTTGAAATGACAATATTATAAACATGGACAAGAGATTAGTGGTTGCCAGCAGTTAAGGACTAAGGACTAAAGTGGGGTGAGATGAAAGAGTGAACTGGGAGGGGCAGGACTAGAAAAGGACAACATGAGTGATCCTTGCAGTGATGGAACTGTTTAGAATTTTGACTGTATCAATGTCAAGGTCCTGATTATGATATTGTGTTATAGTTTTGCAAGATGTTAACCATCAGAGGAATCTAAGTAACAGGTATGTGCAATCTCTCTGCATTATTTCTTACAACTGCATGTGAATGCATAATTATCTCAAAATAAAATATTAAAAAAAAAAAAAAAAAAAAGGCCGGATATCATCCTGCCCTGTGTTGTACAATTCTGAGGTTAAATGAGATAAAGTATGGCAAGGCACTTCGACTGCCTTGTGCCCTGTAAATACTAGGTAACATCATCATCTTCCTCTATCAACCAGTCTCATCAGCATTACTCACTGTTAGACTATTCCTTATCCACAGAGCCTTCGATATCTCTCTACTATGACCCTATCACTGTACTTGTGTAATCCGATCACCCCTCTTGCTATTGTTTGAATGTCCCCTCCAAAACTCATGTTGAAACTTAATCCCCATGGTGGGGCCTTCAAGAGGTGACTGGATCATGAAGGCATGTCATCATGAATGGATTAATAGATTAATGGGTTATCTTGGCAGTGAAACTAGTGGCTTTTTAAGAAGAGGAAGAGGGACCCGAGCTGGCAAGTTTACACACTCAGCTCCCTCTCTATGTGATATCCTACGCCACCTTGGGACTCTGTGGAGAGTTCGCATCAGCAAGAAGGCCCTCACCAGATTCAGCCCTCAATCTTGGACTTCCCAGCCTCCAGAACCGGAAAAAAAAAATGGTTTCTTTGCAAATTACCCAGTTTCAGGCATTGTGTTATAATCAACAGAAAACGGACTAAGACATTTCTAATAGACTGCAGCTCCTTGAAGGCAGAAACTTTTTTCTGTATCTCTCTATGCCCACAGCTTAGCATAGTATAAAACATATAGGCCAGGTACGGTGGCTCATGCCTATAATCCCAGCACTTTGGGAGGCTGAGGCAGGCGGATCATGAGGTCAGGAGTTCGAGACCAGCCTGAACAACATGGTGAAACCCTGTCTCTACTAAAAATTTAAAAATTAGCCAGGCGTGGTGGCACGTGCCTGTAATCCCAGCTACTCAGGAGGCTGAGGCAGGAGAATCACTTGAATCCGGGAGTCGGAGGTTGCAGTGAGCCAAGATAACATCACTGCACTCCAGCCTGAGTGACAGAGCAAGACTCTGCCTCAAAAAAAAAAAAAAGACAACATACAGTAGGTGCTAAATAAATGGCTGCCAGGTTGAAATTAGCTCATGATCTTCTTGTTCAATACAAAGTGTCCCAACACTG
Organism: Homo sapiens; assembly: GCF_000001405.40. NCBI lineage: Eukaryota > Metazoa > Chordata > Mammalia > Primates > Hominidae > Homo > Homo sapiens. The sequence goes on along the minus strand of NC_000001.11, from coordinate 206,220,857 downwards.
GAGGAAGTGAGGAGGGGAGGGGACAGGAAAGAACACTCCAGTAGCTATAAGCCAACGCCTTGAAAGTTTCATCAATAGCCTCCTCCTTCCCAAGTTGCTGAGAACCCAAATGAAGCAAATGTCTGTAAAGAGGGTGTGGCCACAGCAGCAAAAACATGAGTTCAATTCATCAAGTCTCTTCTTTAAACTATTTCAAGTTCTGCAAATGAAGGAACTGACCATTTATAGATTGGGTCACTGGAACAAGATGGGAAGGTGGGCTGTGGTATACTATTCTGGAAAGGATTTTAAAGGTTAGCTGACGGCCCTTTTCCTGAAATGATTAACACTGAAGAACTGTCCGAGGGCAGAATGTATTTAAATACTCTGTCAAGATCTCTCAGAGATCTGACACTCTCGGCCTAGGCAAACATATTTGGCTAGTGAGGTGGGGAGGGGGTTCCCATGCCCTGAAAACAATGCTAGCTCCTCACTCCTACTCCAAATAGTTTCAAGCATAAAAAAGTAGAAGCAGTTGCTTTGCTGCTCCTAACGTTATCGGATAATTTTTCAAATTCTTACTCAATTACATATCACGCTCTTATCTTCAATCTCCACAGGCCAAATAGCCTTGCTTTCACATCGTGCCCACTAAGCCTGCAGAACACAAGTATCCCTCCCAAGTAATTCCAGCTCTCATAAACATGAGATCATTTTACATTAAGTTTTGTTAGAGTATTTGTGTGTATGGTGTTTGTGTGCGTGCGTGCACACGCGCATGCATAAGTGTGCATATGCCTTTTCTTCTAATAAGAGTAAGGAGATTTAACGCAAGAGAAGGTTAGAAACTTGGGAGGTTTCTGTCTCTGCTTAATGATTAACTCTTTTGCTACTGAATCCAGAAGAGCTGGCCTTTCTGGACTGGCAGTCCCACTCCCTGGCCAAAACAGCAAAAGAAAGCTCATACGCACACATTCACTCTTAGAAAGAAGTAACCAGCACAAATCGGTTTCAGCTTTGGCAGTGAGAACACTACTGCAGTTTTAAGGAGAATTAGGTGTTTCCATATTGTGTTGTTACTGGCCTTAAAATATCCAGATCAAGAACCTCATTAATCAAAGTAACACGTCATCTACCCAAAATGCTTCAATGTTTGATTTAAAATTGCTGACAGCAAAGAACTGAGATAACTTACATAACCACAAATCACTGAAAAAGAGAGATCAGGAGATACAGCACAACGGACTCTAAAAATGGCTAAAAACACAAAGCCTAATTAATGTCATTTAAAGATGAAACCTTTAAGAAGAAAACAAAGAAAAAAAAAAAAAGATGAAACCTTAAACCAGAAGTAGAAGAGGGGAGTAGGAAGAACCTGTGCTATCTATTCTCTGGTTTCTATCCTTCCCCCAGGACAATAATCAACATCTAGACTCTATGTGACAACTCACTTAACAATAGCCATTTTTTGTTCATATGTCCTAAAAATCATGAAGCTAGGAACTAGTAATCCATCTTTCCACTTTCCAGCTGAGAAGCTGAGAATCCCAAAGGTGGAATGACATCTTCAACATTACATAGCTGGTCCTCCATTACCCTACATTTCTTCCTCCCTATGAATGATATTTTTTAAATGCTGTAATGATAAAAATATGAGCTGTCATTATTATTAATAGTACTCATTTAAAACAACAGACTATTACTAGCCTATTCATTAGGCGAAAGGAAAACAAACATAAACATGAAAACATTTCAATTCCACATTACAGCATGCTTCATCACAATCCTCAAAGAAATCCTTAGTTGACAAAAGGCCTAATACATAAAGAGCAATGTAAGAGGCAAGAGGCCACTCCACATCCTAAAAGGGCCTGAAGTCACTTCCCGAACAACCCAGATGTCTAGATCAACCCTATACCAGTTCCATAACCACACTGCCTCCCCCAGGTTTGTCCCAGACCAGATGTCAGAGATTAAGAGCCTCCCACTTCCTTATTTCTTTAATTTTCATTAAGGACAATCAATCAACTTCCTTTTTCTTTTAAATTTAAGTACTGCACACAACAACATAAATATCTGTAATACTAAGAGTTACACAAATTCCATTTCTGACCTACCAACATGGATGGGGAAAACCATACAAACCAGTTACAGCAGGGAATTTTCTAACTCTAGAAGTCTCTGAGCTTACTGGAAGTCCAAAGTTTAATAGTTATCCTGATTAAAACATCCTGATTAAAGTGATCCAGTCACAAGTTCACCTGTAGGTCCATCAAGTAACTCTCTCTCCCCTCGATTTTTCTCCAGCTGTGAGGCACATCTTCCTATTAGATCGTGATACTTCAACAAGTATCACTTCAACTGCTCTCCAGGCCAGCTGCCACTCTGGTACTACCTACCACCTGGGGCCTACCCTCCATAAGTGTGCAGCAGCCATGCAGGCATGGCAAGTTCTGGGGGTGGAAAGAATGTCATTCAGAGAATATAATGGTTTTTGTACTTCAAAGTGTGTCTACTTAAAAGGGACAAATCATCATCTTCAACATCTTTTTTGTTGTTTGTTTTTGAGACGGAGTCTTGCTCTGTCACCTAGGCTGGAGTGCAATGGTGCGATCTGGGCTCACTGCAACCTCCGCATCCCAGGTTCAAGCAATTCTCCTGCCTCAGGCTCCCAAGTAGCTAAGATAAATTACAGGCACCCGCCACCATGCCCAGCTAATTTTTGTATTTTTAATAGAGACAGGGTTTCACCATGTTGGCCAGGCTGGTCTTGAACTCCTGACCTTAGGTGATCCGCCTGCCTCGGCCTCCCAAAGTGCTGGGATTACAGGCTTGAGCCACCCAGCCAGGCCGATCTTCAACGTATTAATAAGCAAAAATCATGAACCCTGAAAGCTGGAAGGACCTTAGAAAGTTTCTAATGTTTAACCCCTAGTATTTTAGATGAGAATACCAAGGCATAGGGAGGTACAGTAGGTATGTAACAGAAAGACATTTAAAACACTGCATTAATTCTTTATTGTACCAAGTTACTAGGAAATGAGGACAATCAACTGAGTGTGTACAGCATCTCATAGTTTCAACTGAATTCTTTCATTTCAGCTTCACACCAGTGTTAAGTCAGCTTGGGTTCATAATCTGTCCTCATCACTTACTAGCCATGTGCTTCAGAGCAAGTTATTTAACCTCACTGTGCGTCATCTGTAAAATGGGGATAATAATAGCAGCTACCTCACAGGACTGTTGAGAAATTCATGAGTTCATATATGTAAAGCACCTAAAACAGAGCTGAGACATAAGAAGCACTTGATAAACGCTAACCATCATCATCATCATTATTATAAGGGCCAAGAATTGTTGTTCCCATCTTACAGGGATTTTATAGGGAAACTAGGGATTTTGAGACCTTAGGTGAGTTATCTCCAAAATCATGGTAGCCAATGACAAAGCTAAACTAGAACCCAAGCTTTCTGCCTCCCAATCCAGCACTTTCCCTTAGGATCATTCTGCCTGTGTAGAATCCTGTAGCTCAACGCGTAACAAAGTACTGTATTGGCCCAAAAGAAATGTTGCTCCAGAATAGGTACCTCAGTCAAGATGTCTTCCCAAAGAGCAGCTTACTCATCTGACAAGCTCTAGTGCAGTATCTCCACCGCCTACCAAAATAATAAACACACGCACACACAAAATCTAATGGGGAAAGGAAGCAGATTTCTAAGGGATTTCAATGTTTGGAGAAGAGTTGGCAACAGCCAACTCTTCAGAAACAAGACATATTTCTTAAAGCTTATGGCATGGCTTGTCATGGCCAGCTCATGCTCTTAAGTCCCTTTGTTTTCTGTGCTTTGTCCTCCTGTGGAGCCCTGGCCACCCAGCCACCCATGGCTGCCAGGGTCATCTTCTCCAGGGAGAGTATTCAGATCCTGCCCACCATGCCATGATTCTAAATGCAAGATCTGGGCTCAAACAGCAAAGATAAGGTCCCAACTTTCACAGTGATTTCTGGGTCACCTCTCCACTGATTAATGCATTTAGAAGATATGGTTAAGAAAAACAAACAAACAAACAAACAAACAAACAAAAAAACAAAGAGAATATGCCTTCTTCCTAAAGGATGATATCCTAAAATATACACCAAAATGGAGGAACATGTCCCAACTGTTTTTCCTTCCTCACGAATACATATTTCAAGTTCAGAACCATTCATTCACAACGTATAAATAAGGTCAAGGCTATTTCATACCAAATGACTTGAAAAATCATAAGGGACCATTTTCCTGCTTGTTCCTTAGGACCTCTCCTTCCCCATTTACCAAAGATCTCACAGCTGCTTCTAACCAGGCAATAGCTCTCTCCACACCGTGCTTTGAAAAAGGAACAAAACAGTTCCTTTTTCAGGTCAACCCAGTTTTAACTCCAGGTCAAGACAGACAAACTTTCTCAAACTTAGACTTTTAGTGCCTGATTAAAATGGTGAATAAATCCTGGACAAACGTAGAATGTGTTTTTGCTTCAATTACAGAAAGCCTTATGTTTGTTTTAAACTCTCGGGAATTTCAGTGTTAACATTTTTCTTGGTTTCCAAGGTAAGAGATGTGACTGAAGAAATTTGGTCAAAGCAAGTATAGCTCTAGGGCAGTGACTCTAAAGAGGGCAGTGATTCTAAAGAGGGCTGTGCCAGCAATAAATTTAAGGAGAAACACACCCCCGTGGGGGAGGATCCATAAGGCTATGTAGTTTGTACTTGTCCTTGTATAATGCAAATATATTCACAAAGTTTAATCTATATCAAATTTCAAATAATATTAACATAGGGCATGGGTTTCTTACTGGAGTCGGGGAGAAATGCAGAAGCGTGCCATCATGGCACTATCACATCCAAACTCAACTCAGAAGACAGTTCAATTCAACTTATAAACATTGTAGTGCTTACTATGTGTCAGGAGCTGGACATGCAGAAATGAATAAAAGACCATTCTTTCCTGAAGGTGCTCAGTGAGTTGTAAACAAAGAGATGTAAATGAAGAGATCGCAATGTAATATGATGAGTGCAATAATACAAGAGTGTACAAAGACACTGCAGAGGAGATGCTGAGAGCATACTGATGAACTCTGTGCAGAAGGCAAGGGGAGATGCTGAGGAATCCTGCTTGGGATCCCGCACAGGGGAGCAGGGAAGGCTTCCTGGAGGGGTGGCATCTGAGCTGCTTTAAAGGATGAATAAGTTTTACAGGTTCAAGGAAGAGGACCCATTCCAAAGAGAGGGCACAGCATGGATACAGCACAAACCATGACACAACATGATAAAGAAAGGAAACTAGAGGCAGTTCAGCTGTAAGGCAGTATAAAATGTAAGCAGGGTAAGTGGGAAGTGATTAATATTAACAGTCTTTTATGCTACGATGTTAGCAAAAAAAAAATGAGTTTTTAAAAATCACTCTGGTGACATTGTGCAAGACACAGTGTCAAGATACAATTAAACTATTTCTAAAAGATTATTTGTAGTAGTTAGGTCATCCATTCATTCAGTACTACAGACAATAAGTGTTTACTGAGAGCCACCATTTGAGCTACAATAGTCTTCCAGACACGTTTCCTATCTGAAGGGACCTTATAATAAGCTATTTATTTAGCATTTAATATTTGCCATACACTGAGCCAGTACTCTTAACACAACTGCAATTAATAGCAAGGCAGGTCTCATTATCTCCACATCACAGAAAAGGAGGCTTGGAAGAGAAGTTGAGTGACTTCAGCAAGGTCACACAGCAAGGAGGTGATGCTGACAAGACTCCAACTGAGGGCTGGTTCCAGAGCCTGTATTCTTTGCATTGCACTACACAACTTCAAAACATTCCTACATTCAGAAGTCTGGTAGAAGAAAAAAGAATGAAATACAAATATTCCAAACATAAGGCAGTATGAGATCAATGCCATATGAGATCTATTAAGAGAAGAACTGTGTGGGTGAAATAGAGAGAAGGGTTA